>NC_000012.12:74884370-75035885 GCF_000001405.40 Homo sapiens | reverse complement strand
GTTGATCTCTGCTGCTGGCAGATTAGACATTCAGCAATGGCCATACCCAGGCTGACCTTGGTGAGTAGAAGTCCATGTTGTTGAGCCCATGTATGACCTACATCCTCACCACCATAGCCACTTTGTTCATGAGCCCACTGAATGATGACAGGAAGGGCTGGGGAAATAGACTGACTGGTATCCACAAAATGGGTCATCCTATCCACTTCATTATGAAAATGTTCCTCTGTTGAGGTCACCCTTTGGTGACCATTCACATGCAACACATTTATCTTCGTTTTTTGCTCTTTCAGAAAGGTCCAACCACATGTTTCCCCAAATTTCCTTGTCACCAGTTTTCCTATCATGTTTCTTCTAATTCCCTGACCATCCAGTCACACGATTAGCCACAGCCCATGTATTAGGTTTATAATGACACATTTGGCCATTTCTCTTTCTAAGCAAGGAAAACAACCAGATTTACTCCTGAAAGTTCTGCTCACTGGGAAGATTTCCCTTACCACTGCTCTTCAGGAATGTCCCCGAAAGAGGTTGTAATCCGGCAGCTGTCTACTTTTGGGTGATGTCAACATATCATACAGAACCATCTGTAAACCAGGCCAGAGTTTTCTCTTCCCTTGTCACTGATATTAAGAAACTCCTCAGTAAGACATAGGTGTAGGCAGCTGGGAGAGAGAAGGCAGTGTAGCAGCAGTGGAAACCATGAGCATTTGGCTATTTCTTCATATAACTTAATTGTGCCTCAGGCTCAGTTACTTATACAGCAATTCTATTTGATGATGAAGTGCTGCTGTGGATACCTACCCAGTTCATAATAGTCAGCTCAGGGTGCATGGTAACTTGGTGGTCCATGGTTATGTGTTCAGTCACTACTAATACCCAGTACCAGTCCAAGAGCTGTTTCTTAAAAGGAGAGTAGTTATCTGCAGAAGATGGCAAAGCTTTGCCCTGCAATCTTGAATCTATGCTGTGATTTACCTGTGGTTTCCTGCCAAAGGCTGAAAATAGCATCCCAATCTACCTTTGAATTTGCCATTGAATCTCCTGAATCATATGGCCCAAGTGGCAGAGCAGATTGCCCAGCAGCCTAGACCTGTTGCAAAGCCTTGTCTTTCTGTGTCCCACTCAAAAGTAGCAGTTTTTCAGGTCACTAAGTAAATGGGCAGCAGTAACACATCCCAATGAATTACATATTGCCTTCAAAATCCAAAGAGACCCATTATATATTTTGCCTTGTTTGGGATTGTAGGAGAGGCCAGAGGCAACAACTTATTCCTCACCTTAGAAAAGATATCTTGGCACGCCATATGCCACTGGACCTCTAGAAATTTCACTTAGGTAGAATGCTCTGAATTTTTGTCAGATTTGTTTACTACTTTCTGACATGAAACTCTCTTTCCAGTAAGTCTGGAGTGGTTGTTACTTCTTGCTCACTAAGTCCAATCAGCATAATGCTATTGATGTAATTGACGCGTGATATTTTAGGGAAGGAAAAGGTGATCAAGATTTCTGCAAAGTAAATTATGACATAGGGCTGGAGAGTATGATATACTCCTGAGGTAGATGGTATGGGTGTGTTGCTGGCCTTGTCAGCGAAAACCAAACAGCTTCTGGTGGGCCTTATTGACAGGGATGAAAGAAAAGGCATTTGCCACATTAACAGTTCTATACCAAGCATTAGGTGATGTGTTAATTTGCTCAAGCAATGAAACTACATCTGATATACCAACTGCAATTGGAACCACTACCTAGTTAAGCTTACAATAATTCACTGTCAGTCTCCAAGATCAATCTTTCTTCTGCATAGGTAAAATAGGAGAGTTAAATGGGGATGTGGGTGGGGATCAGCATCCCAGCATCTTTCTAGTCCCGGATAGTGGGACTAATCTTTGAAATTCCTACAGGAATGCAATGTTGCTTTCAGTTTACTGGCATTTCTAATGGCTTCCACTTACTTTTCCCACCATAATAGCCCTCACTCCACATATCAGGGAGCCAGTTATTGAGTATACCTATTCCAATTGTGCATTCTGAGTCTGTATAAATAACCAAAGGATGGGGTAAGGGACTTTTCCTGGGCTTACTGTGAGATAGACTTGAGCTAAAGCTTCATCACCTGACTTCAATAACCCATAATATGACTGTTAGACCACAGTGACATTTTATGCCTTCTGGAATTCATGTCAGTTGAGAGCTAGTGTCTAGTATTCTCCAAAAGGTCTGATTATTTCCTTTTCCCCTAGTGCACAGCTACCCTGATAAAAGGTCATAAGTCTCTTTGGGGAAGTCTGGGAGAAAGATCACCAATATAAATTTTTGGTAGTGTACTGGGATCCTTCCTCAAGGGTACCTGGCCTCCCCTTTGTTCAAAAGACTTTGGATATGGGCCAGGCATGGTGGCTCATGCCTGGAAGCCCAGCACTTTGGGAGGTGGAGGTGGGCAGATCACTTAAGATCAGGAGTTTGAGACCAGCCTGACCAATATGGTGAAACCTGTCTCTACTAAAAATATAAAAATTAACCAGGTGTGGTAGCACATGCCTGTAATCCCACATACTCGGGAGGTTGAGGCAGGAGAATTGCTTGAACCAGGGAGGCAGAAGTTGCAGTGAGCCGAGATTGTGCCACTGCACTCCAGCCTGGGCAATGGAGTGAGAAAGACTTTGGGTCTGTAAACTGGATCAACTCTGGGAATTGGTTGATAAGCAGTGCCTCTGTCTTAATGTTTCAGGTTAGACTTTTACTTCTTTCACCTAAAACTTTTCTGTTTATATAGATCAAGTAACAATTTAGTAGGAATAAATAGGAATATTTATTTCATTTCTAGGAACACCATGATAAACGAGCCAATGCAATAGGTGTGTAGGAGCCAGACTATTCTTATTGCTGCTTTGACTCTGCCATTCACTATGGCAACTACACCTACCTTTCCATTGATGACTGAGTGCCACCACTTTAAACATTCCACCCTGGAATCAGTTGCTTCCATTGCATTTAGGATTCCTGATTCAGTGGCTGTAGTTCCCACCCCACGGTCTTGCCTACAGAAAAGTGAGATCACAGAATACTTCAAGAATACCATGGCTCCCCTCACAAATTTTGTTCTCATGCTAGTAGAGAAAGATATATCTTCTGGACCCTTCCAGTGTAAATGAGTAGATCTGCAATGACAAAATCCCATCTAACATTCAAGTCTTCCAAAGCCTTTAAATTCCTTCCTCTACATTAAACCAAGGCTGGTCTGGCATTTCTAATTTGCTCACTGCAGGTTATGAGGTCCATGTTTTAGCCAACCAACCAATAAAACTGTTAGAATCCTTTTTAATTTCCACAAGCATCAACATTAAATGCAAAATCTCTGCTTAGTGATCTTATATCATTAAATTTGGCCTGATCTAACTTTATGTTGCTTCCAACATTATCCCATACTCTTAATATCCATTTCTACATACATGTTCCCTGGTTTCTTCTTGCAGAAATTAGAAAACTCAAGTAGTTCTTTTGGAGTGTAGGACAATTCTTCATTGGTCACACTTTGTACCTTACCTTTGGAGATCTGCTGAGATTTGTGAGTAGTTACAGGTCTAGAAGAAAGAGGGCTGGTGGGGGTTTGGCTTGAAGAAAGTCAGCAATGTCTTGCATGGCAACTGCCTCAGAGAAGGTCATTATGGATTCCTCAGGCAATGCAGGATTCATTTCCTCAGACAAGGAAAGGATGGAAAGGCTGATACTGCTGGGAGTTGGGAGGACATTTCTGCTAGGAATGGGAGGTCATTCTTCCTGCAGGTAGGGGACACATTTCTCACTGGCAAAGAAGACTCAGGATTTAGGGGCTTGATGTTCTCAGCTTCATCAGTGTTTTCCCACATGTTACCATCCCAATTTACAGGATCCTATTTTTTCCCAATTAGGGAAAAAATGGAGTTCAGTTTCCATTGTAGTTCAGCCAGTTACAGGATGAGATTCTTCATTTGATTTTCAGCAATTTCAATCTTATAGCTACAGTAGATAAGGGTCTCCTTCAGTGGACACCTGGAAGCTTTCAGGTCATTTATGTGGTACTTGAGCTAGAAGTTTGAATCTCTGTGATAATCCTTTTGTTTCCCTGCTTTTTCAGTCACATTAGTAGCAATCAGACAACCTCATTGTATTTGTTAGTTTTCCAAAAATTCTGGAAAGTATTAAACACACAGTCACCCAGCTCTTTGCTTCTTATAAGTGGTTGACTAAGAATACTGTATGTAGTTAGTTTGTGTATCTCTCAGCAGTTGATGCCATGGAACATCGATGCTCTCTTTACTACTGAAAATAGTCTTCACATCTTCAAACCCAATCAGATTAGAAAGTCAGTTCCCAAAATCCCAGAACCAATATACAAAACTTATTCTTAAAATTCTGTTCCTCTAGAACCACCTTCAGTAATAGAGTCTACATTAGTCAAGGTTTTCCAGAGAAACAGAACCAATAGGAGATTATATATATATATATAGATTTATTATAAGAAAGTTGCTCACATGGTTATAAAAGGCTGAGAAATGTCATGTTTGTATGCCAGAGACCCAGAAAAGCCAGTAGACTAGTTTTAGTCTGAGTTTCTGAGTCTAAAGTCTTGAGAGCCAAGAGTGCTGATTATATAAGACCCAGTTAAAGGCCACAGAAGATCAATGTTCCAGATCAAAAAGTCAAGAAGAGAGAGTGAATTCTCATTTCTTTCATCACTTTTGTCTTTTTAGGCCCACAAAAAATTGGATGATACTCGCTCACATTGGAGAAGGCAACTTACTTTGTTTAGTCTATTAATTCAAATGCTACTGTCTTCTGGAAACACCCTCAGAGACTTACCTAGCAATATTATTTAACCAGATATCTGGGCATCCAGGCAAGTTGACAAGTTGACACATAAAATTAGCTATCACAGACATCTTACTGCTATAAACATCTGTGTTCAGGTTTCTGTGTGGAAATAAAATTTCAACTTATTTGGGTAAATAACAAGGAGCACAATTTCTGGATCATATGGTAACAGTCGGTTTAGTTAATACTCATGTTTTTTATTTGATTCTCTTAAACAGTTAATGAAACTGCAGTTCTCTAATTTATCTTCTCAAGTGTGGGTCGTATACACCACACATGAGTTATTTATAAATTTGTCACTTCAGTTGAAGATATAAATATGTTGGTTCATTATCCACAGAAGATTCTTTCTCTTTAAAACAAATAAGATTTTTTCCCACAAAATAGTAAAAGCTCTCATAAAAATTAATAAAAGGGAAAAAATTAACTATAATTCAGTAATTTTCCACTTTACAAACCAAATGTTTTCAATTCGTCAATTTGCCTTTTTCCCTTTTGTAGTCTCGTTTTATTTTATTAACTTGTGTGTGTGTGTGTGTGTGTCTGTGTATTTAACATCACATAATCCATGCTTCAATTTTGTCTCCATCTACCTTTATAATCTTACTTTATTCTTTGCTCACAGACTGTGCTGTAACTATTTTCAACCCGATAGAAGCACACTTAAACAGTTGAATGATGAATCTCTGCATTGAAAAACTCCATCTAATGTATTGGTCTCTAATCCCAGCTCTATGTTAAAAAAAATGTTGCTGCTGTTTAAAAATACAGATCCTTGTATGCAACCTTTAACTTTTGAAATTAAGGGCTTCTAGGGATGAGGCCTAGGCATATACATTATTTTAAAAATAAGTTTTATCTATGTGTATTATTAACAAATAAGCAAAACAAAAAAGAAGAAAAAAAATTTCCACATGTATTTTTCTTATTTAGCAAGGCCTATAATGGAAGACAGATCCTTGAAATTACAATTAACAGAATAGTATTCTTTCTGAAATAATTTTCTCAAATTCATACATTCTTAGTAATTAAAATTTTGAAAGGATGCATATTATCCGAGTAGATTGTTGTTCCCTACTTATTCATTCCCCTAAGTCACTCATAATTTCTATTTCTTTTTCCTCCTTCCCATTATATGTAAGAAGGCATTGACCACTTTCCGTATGTCCACTTTATTTTATTTTTTGGCAGGATTTTTCCTGAAAATTATTCCAAGGATGAAATTATTGGGTCAATAAATATAAAAAAATCATGACCAAAATTTAAAAACTAATCATATCAATGTTACATTTCACCAGCAGTAGATGAAATTAAAATAATCAGGACAATTTCTTAACTCTATTATGATTTGAAAATACATTGTTTTGTTTAGAGTAATTTTGTGCATGTGATAAAATATCACATCAATGTCATATATTTTGGCAGTGATCACTTATTAATGGTGTTTGATTAAGTTCAAAATATAGAAACTGAGTGGAACCATTACAGACTTTAAAAATATCATGCTCCTGTGTACCATATAGGTTAGCTAGTCATTTACTAGCAGGCCAAATATTTTTAATAGGACATTTATTTTACAACTACCAAATTTGATTCTAAATTTGAGACAACAGTATTTGTAAAATAATGTCAATGTGTTATAAGTTGATACAACTTATATTTTCATTTTCAAGTATTTTTTACAATAAAAATTATATAAGGAAATTTCATGTAACTCAAAATCAAGTAACCTACTTTTGGGGGAAAATGTTTTTGGATCTTTTTTAAATCTGTTAAGCACTTAAAATTTTTCCTATAAGCCAGGAAGATCTATCATCACAATAAAATGATAAAAATACTTTGGCATTAGTGAAAATTTTACTTTTAGTAGTGGTGAAAAGTGATATGAAATAAGTAAAAATACAAGTATATGAAAACAATTCATAACATAATCTGAATATTGTGGTTCCTGAAACCTTTCTTTAATCAATTCCCTCAGTGTTTTAATTTACTTCCTTTTGAGATCTTTTAGGGATGATCTAAAATGTTCCTTAAATCTAATTCTTTCTTAATGGCCAAGAGAAGCTATATTATTCTTAGTTTCTTGATCAAAAACAAAAGAAAAACAAGCCAATAACTTGTAACTTTATTGCAAAGAATTAAGTATGAAGTTAGTACCTGAGGACTGACTGTGTGTGTGTGTGTGTGTGTGTGTGTGTGTGTGTGTGTCTGTGGCTGTGTGTGTGCGAATTTTTTCCTTCAGATCTTTCATTTTACCATGGTTTCTCTGGCAATAAAGGGCACTAGTTTAAATGCTCTACATGATGTTCTTCCTATATCAATAGCTGTTCGTTATCACACTGGGTACTGGCAGGATTCTGGAGAGATGGCTGGTAGAGATCTCCAGAATCTAAGATAATAATGCAAGCTTGCTTGTGCGCGCGCACACACAGACACACAGCTGGATATACAGTCAAAGAGAGGACACAAGATTAAGCAGCAGATATAGAACATTGCCTGAAGTAAGGCCTTTTAGTGTGAATTAAAAAAAAATAAGCTGAAAGTAAAGAAATAATTCTATCATTCTGCTTCATGAACTATGTTAGAATAAATTCAGCGTAAAGTATCAGAGACATTCTTTTCACTGGGAACTCTGAAGGTTTGCAATGCCTAACAGGGAGGCAGGAGAAGAAATCATCAATTTTCACATTTCTTATAAAAAAATGAATTTAGACAAATTTTTCTGTTACTATTTTCTTGTAGTTTTGACAAACAGACATTGTTTCTTTACATTTACATTACTAGTGATGTTAAATGCTTTCAAAATCAACTAGTGACTGTCAACATATAAAATATTGCTGGGTTTACATTTATTTTTGTAAAATGTGTTCACGCAAGTTTTTTTTGTCTCATTTGTTACAAGAGCACAATATAATGATATAATTTTACAGAGAACATATTACCTGTTAATGCGAAACTCCTTAATGTCACAAATTAGATTCTGTTAAAATAATTAATTTGGAAGTCATTAGGCTGAAACAGTTTCAGTCGGTTGGGTTCCTATGTAAACCAAAACCCAACTCAGGGTGAACGGTCAAAGCCGAGGAAAGCAGAATTTAAGCTTAACTAATCAATAACATCTAACTAACCTCTACCTCGAGATTCTTCTCTCTAACCAATCATTTTCGTTGTCTTGCTTCTATCTGTCTATCTAGGTGTCTGTCTTTATACCTTGTAAAAGTTTCCCCCCTTGGACTTTTGGTGGAGCCCTGAACAACTTGCATTTTGGCGCTTCCCGATTCATGAATTCCTGTTTGCTTAAATAAAATCTTTAAAATTTTAATGTGCCTGGGTTATTATTTTTTAGAAATCCCTAGGACAAATGTCATTATGAGATTTATTTTTCAAAATTAAATGTTTTAAGCTTAGATCTATCTACTTATTTTTTGGACCCAATAATTCTATTCATAAGAACGATTACATTATGTCAAAATAATAAGGTGGGGGAAAAAAACTGTTTGCCTTTGGTAGCAACTTTCCCTGACACCAAATACATGGCTAAGTATTAATACGTATTTTGTGGGAAAAGGGTACACAGAATTAATATTTGGCTGATGAAAAAGTAATCGCACTTTTTGCCATTACTTCATGGCAGTGAAAAACTCCATTACTTTATGGCAAAAACTGTGATTGCTTTTTCACCAACCTAAAAATTAGAAAGCATTCCCTGACATGTGGTCCACTAGAGAGCCACAGGCAGAACTTTCTACAGCTTCACACCAACTATCAAAATAGTTCTTCATCTAACTTAACCAGGTTAAATATGAGACTGTTTCATGTTACCTAAAAAATTTGAATTACCATTGCTAGTAATCAGCAAGATGGCTTTAATGTTCTTCTCAGCTAGAATAAACTTTCGACAAGTTTCTTTTTTACTGTAGGCTCCTTGCTTTCCTTTTCTTAAATCACTTACTTCAGAAAACTTGCAAGTGTAAATGATTTCCCTGTCCCTGTGAAATGTGAGTCTTTTCCTAACCTCTTGTCAGTTTTATAACTAAGAAATGTCTTTCTCAGGGATCTGGGAGCCAAGCCTTTGGAATATAATTATCAAGAAAGATAGGGCTCCTATCTTCCGGTTTCTGTGGGAATGCAGGAGCCAACTTCAATAAACACCTATCATCAAACACAGATGGCCTGATCAAAATGATCAACCTCAAACTAACATTCTCCAGTACTTTTCTGCTAGCTCATCCCAGCACTTAAAAGCTCTCCCATTTCTCTTATAGTGGAGTTGAGTTCAATCTCTCTTTATCACTCCAATAGTCTTGACTCCCACTGCAAGACCATTGAATAACATCTTCCTTGACTGTTTAACTGATCTGAGGCAATTTTCTTTGACAGTTCTTTGATAGCCATTTTAAGTTTTGGCTAATCAAAAATTTAAGGATCTACAGGGACTGGTGAGGGTGGGGAGAAATCCCAGCTAATCTATAAGCTACTTTAATTTAGAATTCTTTTTTTTTTTTTTTTTTTTTTTTTTGAGACGGAGTCTTGCTCTTTCGCCCAGGCTGGAGTGAAGTGGTGCGATCTCAGCTCACTGCAAGCTCCGCCTCCCAGGTTCACGCCATTCTCCTGCCTCAGCCTCCAGAGTAGCTGGGACTACAGGCGCCCACCACCACGCCTGGCTAATTTTTGTATTTTTAGTAGAGACCGGGTTTCACCGTGTTAGCCAAGATGGTCTCAATCTCCTGAGCTCGTGATCCGCCCGCCTCGGTCTCCCAAGGAAATAGACTTTTAAAAGTTCTTAGTACTATCATAAATATTGGAAAGTCATTAAAAATCAGTTACTTGCTTTCTGTTTTGAAACAGTTCAGTCCCCTCTTGTTCAGATGACTAAATTTACAGGAAGCTGCAAGTAAACTAAGTTGCTGTCATTCATCCTTTTTCACTTTACTGCCAGGAAACTTGCTAAAAAGATGCCGTTAGGCCTGCTCTTTTTCTGGACATTGTCCCTTAGCGCTCTTCAGCAAGCATTTATCACTGTATCTCCACTGCCTGGCACACTCCCAGGCCCAGGCTCTCAGAAGATTCTTAACGTATATTTGTTGAATTGAACCGTTACCTAGGCTGATTTTTCTGAAATTTACATCCCGCCATGTTCTCCCCTAGATGTTCATATGTCAACCTCAGAACAAAACACCAACTTTTTAAAGCCTGCCACTCAAGACATTTTATGATTTTGCCCCTTCTTACCTGTAGAGGGTCAACTATTAATGCTTTTATACAATTCTTTCTTTTAGTATCTGCAGAGCCTAATGAAATGATTGGAATATAATAGACCCAGTTTTTATCATCATCTGTGGACTCCTTGCTGCCCTGACTCACCCACTGGACTGAACCTTCCCAGGCACTAACCAGTGTCGTTAATTCACTTCCATTTGCCACTGACTCTATGGTTAGTATATTTCAAAGCTTTTGTATGTTTCTTTAATCTTTTTCAACAGCAATGACCGAGTTAGTTCCCAAAGCCAGAAATTCGCATTCATCATCTCCCCTGGTGCCCCCTCCCCCTGTAGCAAGCACAAGTTATTGGGTCCTGTTACGCTTTGTAGATAAGCATACTTAACCTGTGGTAAAGTAAATGGGTTTTAGAGTCTAAGCGTGTATGAGTTGGAATCTTGTTATCATCCTTTACCACCTATGTGACTTCTGGCTATGTGTACTGGCTCATGCCTATAATTCCAGCACTTTGGGATGCTGAGGCAGGACTGCTTGAGTCCAGGATCAACACTAGCCTGGGCAATATAGTGAGACCCCATCTCTACAAAAAATAAAAAAATTAATTCCCCAGGCATAGTGGTGCACACCTGTAGTTCCAGCTACTTGGGAGGTTGAGGCAGGAGGATCAGTTGTGTCCAGGAAGTTGAGGCTGAGTTAAGCCATGATTGCCATTGTACTCCAGCATGGCAGAGCAAGACACTATCAAAAAAAAAAAAAACCTTGTAATACTTACATTATAATTTTGTTATGAGTTCTGAATGAGATGATGTGTGTAATATATGTAACAGTATTGTGTACAGAAAGTCTTCTGTATAACTATGAACTGCTATTATGATTACAATTATCATGTTATAATTGATTGTTTTTACACATAATTTTTATAGTTTAGCAACTTGTAATTTTTTTCTCTAGTATTGATTTTCTTTCTGGTAGTTATAATTGAACACAAATTTTGGCAAGAGTTTTTAAACCCATTTCCAATTTCCTTTAAAGAGAATTAAATCCTTCTTTAAAATTTATCCCAGCATCAACATGAACATACTTTCAAATGATGTTCTTATTGTTTACAGACTAAGTCTTCAGAAAGTGGGATATTTACATTTGATAACGATAAATAGAAATTAACAGGATTTGGCAATTTAAAGGTTTGATAAGATTGGAAATTCTTAGCATAATTCTTGAATATTTTACATATCTATAAAATTTTTATATATTAGTATATAAAAAGTCAATTGTATTCTGTAGAGCAGGCTGAAGAGATTCTAATATTACCCCTGGATCACACTAAGATCTCCCAAAATTAACAGAATCTTTTGAATGATATTGGTACATCCATGGTATCTTGAGGATTCTTTAGAAATCTACCAAATCCCCAGAAGTACCTTGCTTGTCTGGTTCTTTTACGTGAGGAGGTTTTGTTCTGAACTGATTAAAGTAGTTGTTGTGACCACATGGCTATTTGTTCACAATCCTATGCAAAATGGACAACATGCTCTCATTTAGCTTGAGAAGGAGAAAAGCAGTGGGCAGCTTTGTTAACAATAGCAGTGACACAAGATGTTGAATTGCTGTTTTCTGAGACAAAAATATGCAAAGTTAAGATAACTCCTGCTTTGAGATTGCAACTTGGCATATTTTTCTTTGAATTAAGAAAGAATAAGCTTTATTTAATGCTTCTGAAGCACATATTTGACTATTTCAGAAATTACATTTTAGAGAATCTACACATCATCTCGAACATTTGATTATTAATCTGTGAAAGATTTAATTATTGAAAAATCTGGCTAGGTGCAAAAAGTGGGTTATTATTATATTTATTTGTTCATGGCTTTACTCCTTAGAAAATAAATTGATGAACTTTATTTTGAATTCTTAGGAAAAAGAATTTATATATATCTCCAATTGGAAATTTCAGGTATGAGGTGGATATATGAACCTGGAGATGAGGTAGACCAGGTAAAAGATCTGGGATGGGGCTGGAGATATACATTTGGGAGATGTAGGCATAAAGATGGTATTTGAAATTATCACAATGGGTGAGATCACCAAGGTGGTGTGTGTGTACAGGAAAGAGAAGAGATCTAAGGACTGATTCCTAGGGCACTTCCACATTGGTAGGTCATGAGAGATTGTCAGAAACAGCAAATGAGATTGAGAATGGGCAAATAGATAGGAGGAAAAGCGAGAGATCTCAAGGATCCGAAAATTTAGAAATAAAATGAATGAAGGACAAAGGAGTAAGAACTGGTAGTTTAATTTAGCAATGAAGAGGTAATTGGCAACCTTGACAAGATCATCATGGCGCATTGTTGAGGGTAAAGTCTGATTAAAATAGTCTTAAGGGTCTGGAGTAGAACTGGAAACAGCACATGTAGACACTCAGGAGATTTTCTACAAAGGGGAACAGAGAAATAGAGGAATTGCAAATGGGAGAAGTAAAGGTAAGTGATTGTTTTTGTTTTCTTTGTTTCCCCTAAGATGGGAAAAATGACAGCATATTTATCTTTATCCAGAAAACAATAAGGCTGCACTTTTAATTTTTTTTTACAAATAAGCTCTGCTTATTTCTGGACAAAAAATGTTTTTAAATTGTACTCTATGAAAACACAATATGGGGACTCTGGACTGAAGGAGATTTCAAGTGGCTAACATAGAGCTAAAAAGGGACTTGTATTTTCTTTTATTTCTGGTAATAATATCTGTTTTCAAATTAAATTTTAGTTTTATCTGTTATTATCTTTAATAGTAGACCTTAAATTTTAAAACATGGGAATTTGTTCTTTGCTATGTAAGCCAACAATATATTGGGTATGTTGATCATTTAATTGATTGACTGGTAGCTGAGACAGAACCTAGAATTTAAAATTGATCTTTTGAAAGACTAAATCAAATTCTTACCCCAAGATAGGATAGGTTATAGCAGTGTAATTTGACAGATTAATGTGAAAAATGTATCTAGTATCAGCATTTGCTTTCCCTACTCCATTCTTTTCTCTATCTCACCTTTAAGAAGAGATCCCAAATTAGAGGTCTAAAAGGCCATCTTTAGTGTATATGTCTAATCTTTCCAAAGGCAAAGAGGATAAGCAAAGTGTTTGGAGAGTAGAGGCTGCATCTACCACTCTGGGGAAGGGTGAAATTCTCCAGGACTGGGAAGGAGACAAGCTCTTGGGGTCTTATGAGGGAAAGCAGATACTATGGTCTGAGTGTGTACCTCCAAAATTCATATGTTGAAACCAAATCACCAATGTGATGGGTATTATGAGGTGGGGCATTTGGGAGTTAATTAAATCGTAAGCCAGAGTCCTTATGAATGGGTCCTTGTAAAAAAAAGGCCACAGAGAATTGCTTTGCTCCCTCTACCACGTGTGGACACAGCTAGAAGGCACCGTCTATAAACCACAAGGCAGCCCTCACCAGACACCAAACCTGCCAATGCCTTGACCCTTTATTTATTTCCCAGCCTCCAGAACAGTGAGAATGCATTTCTGTTGTTCCTTATCTATGTAGTCTATGATATTTTGTTATAGCAGCCCCAAATAACTAAGAAAACAGAGAACTATACATACATTATCACAATATCCCAGAAAGACAGAGCCCTAATTATGGATAATGACTGCCTGATATACCTAGTTAAGTGGGACCATTGGCAGCAGAGCTATCATACTAGATAAGAATCCCCTTAACCAAGTTTGGGGTTTAAATTAGAGATATGTTAAACTACAAGGCAGAATTTTAAAATATCTTAAACAAATAGCTGTTTATTTTTCTGACATAGCATTTAGTTCACAGGTTTTTGGCATTGTCTCAGCCATTTAGCAATGTCATTAAGGACATGGGCTCTTGCTGTCTCTCTATTCTGCCAACCATAACATGCTGGCTTTTTATATTTTTGTTTTTCATATGGCATCTGTATCTTCAGCCTTACATTGTTGTTCACAAAAGCAGAATAGGAAAGTACCCAGGTTGAAAAGCAATACCAGCGACCTTTTACTTTCAAATCATTGTCGAGACTGCATCACATAGATTACCCAACCCATAGAGGCTGGTAAATTCAGTCTTTAGTGTTGATAGTCTTTTATGTTGGAGAAAAGCAAAAGAGAACGAGGTAGAAAATAAAGGTTGGGTCATGCAGCCTATAGCTTCTGTTGCACTTGGTATGTTAACTTCCTTAAGAAATGTCAAGTTGAAATACAAGCATTTCTGCAGCCAACAGTGAGAACAAAAGACCAGGGATCCTTCATTTTCTGAACTGTGTAAGACTCTGGAATCTTCATATCTCAGAGGCAAAAAAGGAGGAATATTTCAACAATGACTGTAGTTGAATTTCATGTCACAGTGGCAGAGAAATGCATAGAGTTAGATTTAATTTTGTTGTCAAAATGTAGTCACATGATACCGGTTGCATTTAATTTATGGAGTAAAGATAAAAACCACACTCTTATATTATACTTCTAATAAGGATTCTGATTACCTGGAATAACAACCACAAAACATAATCAGTTACTGATATTTTAATTCATAATGAAGAAGGAAGTAAAGAAATATCTAGGAATTTTCACAGAGGTATTTCGATATCTGTTTATTTTATTAGCATACTGATTGTATTAGTCAGGGTTCCATAGAGGGACAGAACTAATGGAACAGATATATATAGATAAAGGGGAGCTTAATAAGAATTAACTCACACAATCACAAGGTCCCACAATAGGCCATCTGCAGGCTGAGGAGTAAGGAGAGCCAGTCTGAGTTCCAAAACTGAAGAAGTTGGACTCCAATGTTTGAGGGCAGGAAGCATCTAGCACAAGAGAAAGATGTAGGCTGGGAAGTTAGGCCTCTTTTCACATTTTTCTTCCTGCTTATATTCTAGCCACAGTGGCAGTTGATTAGATTGTGCCCACCCAGATTAAGGGTGGGTCTGCCTTTCCCAGCCCACTGACTCAAATGTTAATCTCCTTTGGCAACACCCTCAGTGACACCCCCAGGATCAATACTATGTATCCTTCAATCCAATCAAGTTGACACTCAGTATTAACCATCACAAGTACACCCCTTGTCAGCTTGAACCCATACACATCTCCTGAGATCATACATAATCTTCAAATAAAGACAATAATAAGGTCTTATTGAGACAGCCTGGTGGGAGGAGGTTCCTGGAGAAACTCCAACCAGCCTGCCCACTGAGGTGGAGCCTCAGGAAGTTCACGCCCTTTGCAGTGGGGAGGAGCCTGGCCCCGCCTTTTCCTGTGTGAAATCTAGTATTTGAATGATGGGTGAGAAGTGCTCTAGCAGGGGATCATTTTTTTCCCTTTTCACCCAATAAACCCTACTTTACTCACACTTTAAATCGTCTGCAAGCCTAAATGTGTGTGGCTGTGGGACAGACAAGAACCCTGTCTTTAGCTAAACTAAGGAAAAGTCCTGCAACATTTTTGGCGCCGAACATGGGGCTCAAGAAGCAGTGAGTGAAATGGGGACTCAAAACCTCTCACTGTTGCTTCTGAGCCTTTTTATCCTCGGACTTCTTAGGGTAGGGGAAACCATGCCCCCAGCCCCATCGCTCCTGGGCCTTTTCAAGGCCTTTTCCTTCCTTTTTTGCGACCCACTGATGATCAGCAACTCCCTGACACACTCCCCACTCCCTGCCACACTCCCTGCTCGTTGCTGGGACTGGGACGCATGGCCCAAGGATTCTGGACAGCTGGCTGGCTGGTTCCCAGCCACAAGCTGCTGCAGCCTTCCCCTTCCCCAACCAAGGGTTTTTATTCCATTGGACAGTAATTAAGCTTAAGATTTTCTCCCTGGTGGAGGAACCACTTGAATAAGAATAAGAGGTTTCTCTTCAGGCATTTTTAAACTGTTTCTTTTCTTTCCCCTTTTCTACCCCATTAGCAAGTTAACTTTTAAAGTTTTTTTCTTTTAGAAGATATTTTACTAGGCTAGCCCCCGCCCACCCCCCCCCACCCTGCCCCAACTATCACTGTGCAACTATTACTCTGAAAAATTTTGGTTGTAAAATCAAGTTTCCATCTTGCTTTACACCCTGAGGGCATGGCTGGTTACTGCTTGGCAAGGCTTTGTTTAGCAATCTTGCCTGAGAGGATGAGCCCTCTCAGGTTTGATATTTGCATATTTTTCTAGCCTGTCTCAAAGGGCCCCACCTAGTGACTGGGTTTTCTTCTGCCTGTCCATCTGTGTACTGTATGTAATGTCTGTCAAAAGAGTTCTAATTAATTTTGCCTAAAGAAAGACAAGTTCTTGGATCAAATATTTTTTAAAGGGATTATAAAATCTGTGGTAGCTTTCAGTTTATGTGACTTTAATCTTTGAGAAATAAAAACAGCCTTAAAGATTATTGGTAAAATGCAAGTCAGATGCAAGGTTTTCTAAGTGTTTTAAGGTTCCAAACTGCTTTATGGGTTTTCTGAACTATTTCACTTGCTGGCTTTAGAGTTGGTAAGGCCTAGGGACATATGGAACTAACCAGAATCTTAACTAAGAAGGCAAACCTTGGCTGCAGTTAATGCACAATTAAAGCAACTTACCAAGTTTTACCTTAAAGTCAACAATTGGTAGAAGTTACTATTATAACATGTAATTGAAACTACTGAAAATAAATTTAAATGCAAAAGGTATAAAAACAATAAAATGTGTTTTTATGTAGAAGGTTATAAGAAGGCATGGAAATGTAAACTTTTGCCCAGGGTTAAAGGATTGTATTCAGTTAGATAGGGAAAGCTAAAGGTTCAAACAAGTGGTGGAAAAGCTGTGGAAATTAATCTTGCAGAATATGTTCTCTGTGTAAACATATTAATTAAATTCAAAAGGGTTATAAAAGGTTTTTGCTTGTTTAAAATTTCTGAATCATCATTTTGGCAAAACAAATTATTTATTATTAGAATCTGGAATTCTATTTCATAATATCAAGTGTCTTAAACCTCAAACATTTAATAGCATTCCCCAAATCAAACTTCCATTTTAAAATTGTCTTCCCTGGCAGCTGGCTTTTCAAATACTTCAGAGTGCCCCTGAAGTGTCCAGAAAAAATAGGTAAACAGGATTATTTGACATGTTTAGGTACATGGGATTGCCAAAATGATGCTCAATCTTCTTTAGGTTTTTGGTGAATAATGCTAATATATGTACCAAATTGTATGGGATATCTAAAATTCTAATGTCTAAGTATATGCTACCAATCATAAATAAGGTTTTTATGTTAAGTTACTGCAAACCACGGAGATAACCAAACTTCTTTGTCAATTGTGTTTCTAAGTATAACTAACCTTGACATTTTGCTATTCACAGACAATTGTTGTCTTGCTTTAATCCTTTTCAAAAGACGGTTTATAAGAGCTATAGAACTTTAACAGGTGCTCTCAAATGCAGACTTCTGATAACTTTAGAGATCGTAACATTAGAATAAAGGAAAATGTACAGAATTCATAAAGAGCTGAAATGCTTATGAATATAATGCATAACAAGAGTTGACTAAATGGATTGCACTCAGAAAGCTGAAGCAACCTTTTTGACTTCTGCTTGGAATATTGCTGATCCATGTTTTGTTTTTCAGAGTCAAGGAAACTTATTTTAAACTATCTACAGCCTTTAATAATTAAGTACTCCTGTGATCAAAATTTGGAGCACATTTGTTTCTCTCTGCCTAGTTCCTCTAGAATTTGTAAACTATCTGTAAGTATTCTTATGGCAATATAGTTGTTTGCATCAGTGCAATAAGACTCAATTTTTCTTTTGCAACAGGACACAATTGGATAAGGTTATTTTATCAAGACTTTAACTGGAAGGGTATGTTTCCCTTTAAGGAGTCAAGCTTGACTTTCAGGGCCCATAAAAACCCCGTGGGGAAACTGGCCTCATAACTCTTGTCTACACAGTCCCTGTAGAGGGTTCCTGACCTGTGGTCAGTAAAGAATGCCACTTTCTAACAGGTCCAGGAGCTCCAAATTTATCTTGGGACCTTAAGAAGAGGGGATCACCTAACCCACAGGTATTTGAGGATGGAAATCCGTGGCTGGACTGGGCTTTAAAAGGTCTTATCTGTGATTCCTTGTGGAACACACTTCCATCAAAGCCAATCCAAGAGGCCTGTGTAGAAATAATTATTCTTTTTGCACTTTATGCAAATAAACAGGCCAAGTATAAGACCAAAGTCTATTTAAACAACTCAGTGCTATGATCATTTGTTTCTTGGAGCTCCCTAGACCTCATTTATGCCATGGATACTAACGTGGCCTTTATCCATGCAATAGGAAGCTTGGGGTTGGAATAAGTAGGGACTAAATGGAATGCCCATCATGTGAAGGTTTCCTTTTTTGGGAAAGTAAGACCAAGGGAACTAACCAAATCCAAGAACCATGCATCCAAATCCTAGCAAGCATAACTATAGCTACCAGTTAGCTGGGTGTGTCACACAACATCCTTTCCTCTCCCTTGTTGGAGGAAAAATCAGTTCCACAGTTTTACCTTAGCATTTGGCTTATGATAAGGAGTCCATGCAACCCTCCCAGAGACACATTTTTGTCCCAGACTCAATTCTAAGCTTTGGGTCAAAGCCCTGGAAAGAAAACTGGATCTAATGGCTCCAGAGGCAGATGGCAATGGAGGTTAAAAGGCACAGCACAGGTGACCATGGCAGATTCCTGCTGATTAAGCCAAACCCAAGCTTCCTGTTTCATGGATAAAGACCATGTCAGTATCCATGGCATACATGAGGTCTAGGGAACTCCAATGCTACTGACAGTAGGAGGGATAGATGCATAGGTGAGAGTGGGCAATTCCCATTCTCTAGGCACTCCCTGATTCATGGGTGCAAGCCGCTTTGGCACTCATGGTGGTGCCTGCCAAAGTTGCTGGGTCTCTGGGATGCAAGGATGGAAGAGGAAAAGAGGGACACTTCCTTCTCTCTCTCATGTACCCCGGGTATCTGCTAGGAAGAGAAGGGAACCAGGGATGTCTGCTCCCCTCTTTCTAGGTGGGTGGCCATTCGTCTTCAGTGTGTACCCCTTCCAAATGCATCCTGAACTGCTGGGACTTCTTTGAAAAGCACCTTCTTTTCCCTGTCTCCTCCTCAGTCCTCTCTTCAGTTAGGTAATTTTGTCTTTGTACTATGAGACACTTCCCTCAGATGCATCCTCCAAAAGGGAAAGAGTTAATTTCCCAAACCTTAAGCTGATTGGCTTAGGATCAGGTTCAGGGGAAGGTAACCCAGAAACCCAATATGATGGCAAAAGGGTAAAGTTTTTATTTTGCCAGTCAGGCTTTTGGCCTCCCTCTCCCTGTGCAAACTGGTAAACGGCCTTGGAATTTTTGAGCTGTCCTTACCCCTCCCCTTGTTTCATTTTGATACATGTTTTCTAATAACCCTGTTTGTCTGTTCTTGCCTTCAGGCCATCAAACTCCAAACAATCATGCAACCAGAGCCTCTAATGATGGCCCCTTCTGCCAGGAACCTTTAAATTTCCTCTGAGGGAGCTCTGACTGTTGTTTCTCAACAACTGCACCCCCTGTCAGCAGGAAGCAGTTAAGATCATCTTCCTCCTTACCTTGAATCTACCAGCGGTTACATGTACTTCTTTAGAGGGGTGAATGAGAGCCAGGTGGGAGGGGGTCCCTGGAGAAATTCCAGTCAGTCTGCCCATTGAGGTGGAGCCTTGGGAAGTTCATGCCCTTTGCAGTGGGGAGGGGCCTGGCCCCACCTCTTCCTATGTGGAACCCAGTATTCAAATAGCAGCAGGAAGCTCTCTAGCAGGGGACTCTGAAACAGGAGGATGCCTGTCCCCCCTCCTCCTTTTTTTTCCCTTTTCACCCAATAAAACCTTGCTTTACTCACCCTTTAAACCATCTTTGAGCCTAAATTTTCATGTCTATAGGATAGACAAGAACCCTGTCTTTAGCTAAACTAAGGAAAACTCCTGCAACAATATTTACTCATAACATTACAACTGTCCTACGTACAACTGGAAATATATCAGTTCCCAACCCAAATACTATTACATAGAGTTAACAATACTTAAATGCTGATGTGAAGTCAATAAATCTTACGTCACATGGTAAAGGAAAAGGAAATAAAATGAAGATATTTTCTTAGTACACGTGTATATATGTAAAAACATGTATACGTGGGTCAGAAAGCACCCAGTTCATGATAGGCAGTTTGGGTTGCATAGTAACTTGATGACCCATAGTCAAACGTTCAGTTTCTACCAAAGCCCAGTTTTGTCATCGATGAAATGGACCAGTGTGATATCTTGCATAAGCAAAAAGCAATCAAGTTCTCTCCAAATAAGATTATGACACAAAGCTGGAAAGTTTAAATAGCCCTGGGGCAGGACAGTAAGGGTATATTGCTGACCTTTCCAGCTGAAGGCAAATTGCTTCTGGTGGGCCTTAGGGACAGGAATGGAGAAAAAGGCATTTGTCAAGTCAATGGCTGCATACTAGGTACCAGGAGATGTGTTAATTTGCTCAAGAAACAAAATCACATCAGGTACAGCAGCAGCAATTGGAGTCACAACCTGGTTAAGCTAACAATAATCCACTGTCATTGTCCAAGATCCATCTATCTTCTGTACAGGCCAAATGGAAGAGTTGAATGGGGATGTGATGGGAATCACCACCCCTGGGTCTTTCAAGTCTTTGATGGTGGCGCTAATCTCTACAGCCCCTCCAGGGATGAAATATTGTTTTTGATTTACTGTTTTTCTAGGTAGAGGCAGCTCTAATGGCTTCCATTTGACCTTCCCACTATAGTAGCCCTCACCCTACCAGTCAGGGAGCGAATGTGGGGGTTCTGCTAGCTGCTAAGTACGTCTATGCCAATTATGCATTCTGGCTCTGGGGAAATGACCACAGGACGAGTCCAGAGACCCACTGGGCCCACTATAAGTGGGACCTGAGCTAAAACTCCATTAATTACCTCATCTCCATAAGCCCCTACTTCAACTGGAGGACAACAATGACGTTTTGGGTCCCCTGGAATCGATGTCAGCTCAGAGTCAGTGTCTCGTAGTCCCCAAAATATCTGATCATTTCCCTTTCACCAATGAACATTTACCCTGGTAAAAGGTCGGAAGTCTCCCTGGGGAAGGACAGAAGAAGGATTTACTGCATAAATTATCACTAATGTAGTGGATTCCTTCCTCAAGGGAACCCAGTCTTCCCTTCATTCAAGGGTTCTGGGTCTGTAAACTGGCTCAAGTCTGGAAATTGATTGAGGGGCCATGATTATCTGTTTTTATAATTCAAATTTTTTTTTGCTCATTTGATCTAGAAGTGTTCTGCTTATATAAATTAAGTAGGAAGGCAGTAGGCTCCCTATCAATTTCATTCTAGGAAAACTGTAATTAATTAGTCAGTACCAGAGCTCTACACAAATCAGACTATTTTGATTGTTGCTTTGCCTCTGCTGTCTATTACGGTAGGTATGCCCACCTTGCCTTTGACAGTTGAGTGCTGCAACTTGGCCCCTGCCACTTTGGGATCCAATTATTCCAACTGCATTTAAATTGTGTAGTCAAGTGACTGTGGTTCCCACTGTTCAACCTGACATACAGAGAAGAGCAATTCAAGGGCTCTTCAAAGATGCAGGTACCGCCATCACAAATCTATTTTGCAAGGCATTGGTCAAGGGTATATCTTCTAGACCCTCCTGACTTTAGTGAGAAGGTCTAAAGTGACTAATCTACTCCACCATCCCAATCTCTCTGAGCTTTTGGATCCCTTCCTCTACATTAAACCAGGGGAGATCAGGCATTTCCAGCTCACTCATAGTGGGCCATCTTTTAATCCATAGTTCAGCTAACCAAGTAAATAAACTATTAGAACCTTTTTTAACTCCCTGAGCTCCAACATTAAATGCAGAGTCCCTACTTGGTGGGCCCAAATCAATAAATTCAGTCTGATTCAACCCTATGTTCCTTCCACCATTATCCCACACCCTTAATATTTATTCTAATGCCTATTCTCAAGATTTCTCTTTATATAAATTAGAAAACTCAAGCAGTTCTTTTTAAGTGTAGCACACCTCCTCATGAGTCACACTCTCAACTTCACCTCTAGGGGCTCTCCAGGACTTTAGTCTAATTATAGGTCTAGAAGAAAACAGGGGTGTTGGGGGTGGCTCCTGAGGAGAATTAACATTATCTTTCCTGGCAACTGCCTCAGGGGAGGCCATCACTGTTGCCTCAGGCAGAACAGAGTTTATCTCCTCTGGCAAAGATGGAGAAAGGCTGATGGTAGTATGGGTTGGGGAGGGGATGTTGCCACTACTGGGGATGGGGAAACTGTTTCTTCTGGCAAAAAAGGTTCATCAGAGTTTACAGGCTCAGTGTCCCCAGCTTCATCAGGGTCCTCCCACACATCCCCATTCCAAGTTGCAGGGTCCCATTCTTTTCCAATGAATGCTCTCACTTTAACAGCGGATACCTGGCAAGGCTGTGCATGCATCTTTTGTTGCAGGTCAGCAGCTCGTGTGATAAAAGCTTGTGTTCATTATTCCACAATTTCAGCTCTTTCTCTACAGGAGATGAGATTCTCACTCAGGGCAATCTTAGCAGATTTGAGGCTCAGTATCCACTTCTGAAGCCAGGAGACAGAATCCCTGAGTTCATCATTTTCTTGCATCACTTTGTCCACTGAACTTAGGAGCGACCAACCAGCTACATTATGTTTCTTGGTTCTCCACATATGGTCAAAGGTATTATGTATAGAGTCACTAAACTCCTTGCCTCTCACGAGTGATGAATTAGGAATGTCAAATGCATTTATTTTGCATAACTCTCTAAGCAGTTCATGCCAAGGACTATCTGTGTTCTCCGTACTATTAGAAGTAGAGCCCTTAGCAATTTTGGGTCTAATCATATTAAGCAGCCAACTCCAGAAACACCAAACCCAATGAAAGAATTCCATCCTTAATATTCTGTTCCTCTAGAACCACTCCTGGCACCAAAATCTGTATTAGTCAGGGTTCTCTAGAGGGACAAAACTAATAGGGAGTTTATTAAGTATTAACTCACATGATCACAAGGACCCAAAACAGGCCATCTGCAAGGGCAGGAAGCATCCAGCATGGGAGAAAGATATAGGCTGGGAGGCTAGGCCAGTCACTCTTTTCACATTTTTTCTGCCTGCATATATTCTAGCCATGCTGGCAGCTGATTAGATTGTGCCTACCCAGATTAAGGGGGGGTCTGCCTTTCCTAGCACACTGACTCAAATATTAATCTCCTTTGGCAACACCCTCAGAGACACAGCCAGGATCAATACTGTGCATCCTTCAGTCCAATCAAGTTGACACTCAGTATTAACCATCACACTTATATATCCAAATATTTTCAAATATAAATTATTCAGATGATTAAAAAGTCAGTCCTACACAGCCTTGGACTATTAAAAATCATAATTAGAAACTATACAAAGTGTCAGCAACTAGAAAAAATTAATAATGCCTTTATTTATATAAAACATTATGTACTTTAAGGCGTTTTCATAAACATTTTTCTATTTTCGTTGATATGGAATTATTTCAAAATTATATGATTCCTATGTACCTATATATATGGCACAACAATTTTCTACTGCTTTATTCATTAACAAGTAGTTATTAAGTCCTCAATCTTTTTTCTTAGTTTAACAAAGTAGTTTCCTAGTTTGTTAGACTAGGAAAATGATGGAGGAATCAATTTTACTTATTGAGGACTCAATAAACTAGTTATACTAGTTTAACTAACCAGACAAAATCCTTGCTGTCATGGAATTCACATTGTAATGGGGAAAGAAACAAAATACATAAGTACTATGTCAGATGGTAATAAAGGATATAAAATAAACAGGGATGTGGGGATAGGAAGTGGATAGTATGATTGTCATGATATATGGGATGGTCAAGGAACGTGTGGCTCTAGAAGAAATCTGGCTGAAGAGTATTTCAGTGTGAAGGGATAGAAATGCCAAAGCACAGTTGGTGTAATCAAAGAACAGCAAGGAGCAAGTGCAGCTGGAGCTGAGGGAACACGAAGAAGGCTGGGAATAAGCTGGGATATAGATTATATGCAGCATTTTAAGCCATAGTTAAGAACTTCATGGAAAAAAAAAAAACAACCTCAAAATCATGATGTTAGTTGATCTAATTACTTGACCTAATTCTTCTCATGTAATATGGCTATACAGCATAGGAGCAAATCAGGTTACTAACATGCCTTTAAAATACTCCTTGGATAAAATTAAATTTCATAATAATGTGCTTTATAAATATCGTATGTACATAAATAATATGTGTATAAATTTGCCTGGTTTTCAGTGGTCCTAATAGTGTTGATATTTGTTTATCTTTTGAAATTGAATCTCGAGTCTCTAAATACCGTGACTGTAGGTTGATTACTCAGAGAGAGTGTAACCTGTTGTGTGGGCTGTGTGGGCAGAGCTGCTGACACAGTGCAATTCAGTTCAGTCAAGCCCAGTTCTTGCCACTCCCACACACCGTGATTAAAAACATTTCTCCCCTAACCCTGCCACAGGGCTGGAAGTTACCACATTATTCATTCAGTTAAGGCACTGGAGGTTGCTGATAATTATCTAAATACCCTTTGAGAGGAGAGGCAAATTAATCTGTAACTGTGTAAAATTATTTTCAAATCCAATTAGCTGAGCAGTCGCCCAGTAAGACATTGGGTGAATGGGGCAGAGGTGAGGATTCATGAGGCCATGAATGTCAAAGTTTGTGGACATGGCATTTCCATGGAAGTTTTATTCAGAGGGGATCCCTGCACAGCTGAGAATCAGAATGAGGGCACTGGAAATAAAGAGGCAGATGTTTAACTTATATCATTAATTATATTCAGGGTTAACTCTGCTCAGGGAATAACAGCTAGTGTCTGGTAGAAAGTGTTAAGATTGTGGAATCAGAAGACCTGGGTCCTTCAGTAAGCCATGAAATTGAAGAATCAGACAGGGCAATGTATATGAAAACACTTTCCTGTCTGAGAAGCAGAAGCATATTGTAGTGCTTAGCTTACAGTAGGCAATAAACAAATGAGTCACGTTAATATTTAAGATTTGCTTCATTAGAATTATGGCATTTAAATGTAGCAATTTTGTCTCAGCCTCATGAAATCAGTCATGTCAAAATATTATTTTACCAGTTATACATACAAAACCATCCCTGAAAATTATTATTTACCTGAGCCTCATCCTATTCCTAATCTTCTCCAGCTTCACATCAGTATACCCATCAAAGTTTTAAAATACTGAACAATTACTGAGTGATGCATGCAACATCCCTTCTGATCTTACACACATGTCTAAGCTTCAGCCCAAGCAATGCTGTTTCTCTGAAAATTTAATTTCAATTATTCCAAACCACAATTGGAAGTCTGAAAACCTCTTACTCCCTTTATAGAGAGATGATAAAAGTGAATAAGGAGAAAAAAGAGACTCAGAGAAGTTAACTCCAGCTGTCACTTCTGAAAAGGTGGCAAAACCCTCCCAAAAAACCGATAGTCTGTCACCTCCTTTTTCCAATCGCAGTGCCAAGGATTCCACGAAAGCAAAGAGAAGAGTATTGTTAAGCCTAATATCTAATATAGACCATTTGAAACATCTGCAGAGAAAGAAGCTATTTTGGCATTGATGGGAGGATAAATCGACAATCAAAGAGGCCATAAATGGAAGGTCTGCTAGGAAGCAAAGCTTACTGGATGGTCATTGTCTTTCCCCTAAGAGATCCCTGCCTGTCCCACTGCAAATGAGAGGCAGAAAACAGCAGTGCCTGTTGGTACTGGCCTGTGATAAAGGAACAAGGGCAGGGTAGAGATAGAGGCTTCCTGAGAAGCAAAAATATGAAAAGAGATTCAAGCAGATGCACCACCTTCTGAATATTCCCCTTCCTCCAACTCTTCTCCATCTGAACTTGAGGAATAGATGGGAGAGAGCTCCTGGTCAAGGGTGGAGCCTGAAATGATTCCCCGTCAGGCCCAAATCCAGGGACGTGCCCAACCTCTATTGCAAGTACAGTGGTCCTGCCGCTGCCTTGTAGCTCGTGCACACACACATCCACGAGAGACTCTGGGTAGGAAAAGTATTAAAGGTGGGTTGGAGATACTAGATATTTTTGTATAGCATAGCGAATACACCAAAAAATTAATAGGTTTGAAGATGAAGGTTAGTAATTTTTCTACATCGTACCAAAAGCAATAAGGAAATGAGGAATATAGGTTAAAAAATAAGAAATTTTAGAATAAAAGTAGAATTCTCAACAATTTTGAGAGTCTCTTTGGGAGAAAAAAATGAGAGATGAAAATATTTAAGTAAGTAATGACTCGGATGTCTCAGAAATAAAGACACATTAGGTATCAGACTGAAATGGCCCAGAGAATTTCAAACTCAAAGACAGGGGAAATACATCTACTAAAAACTTCTAGAGAGGAAGAGCAGCTCATCTAAAATAAATAATCAAAACCACATTGATTTTTTCATTAGCATGTTTGACTGCAAAAAAAAAAAATAAAGTAACATTTTTTAAATTTTGAAGAAAAGGAGTTTTGAACCAACTCACCTAAGTATAAGAGTTAAATTACAAATATTTTTAGCAGCAAGGCCTTGAAGAGTTTATCATCTAAAGACTTTCAGGACATTTTTGGAGGAAGTACTCAAACATTATAAAATGAACTCAGGAATATTGCATATGACATTGATTAAATTCATCTACATATCTGTTTATTAATATTCTGCATATCTGCATATGTATCTATACATCTGCCATCTATCTACATACCTACTTTTCTATATGAAACAATTTAAGCTAGACTTATAGATTAAACACTATGATGAGAGGGTAGAGAGTCAGGGACTTTGTGGAGACTAGGAAATTACAAAATGCGCCAAGGCATCTCTTTGTTCTGGATGAAGATACGAATATGTCAAGCTGAAGAAATTTACAGGAATAGATTATATATGCATGCCTACACAGCTGTAGAAAGTTAAGAATAACCACAAGATAAATAAAATTTATCAGGTGTAACCTCCAGATCAGAAAGAAATTATGGCAAGGTGGGCGGATCACAAGGTCAGGAGATCGAGACCATCCTGGCTAAAATGGTGAAACCCCATCTCTACTAAAAATACAAAAATTAGCTGGGCGTGGTGACAGGCGCCTGTAGTCCCAGCTACTAGGGAGGCTGAGGCAAGAGAATGGTGTGAACCCCGGGAGGTGGAGTGCAGCGAGCCGAGACGGTGCCACTGCACTCCAGCCTGGGTGACAGAGCGAGACTCCATCTCAAAAAAAAAAAAAAAAAAGAAGAAGAAGAAAAAAAAAAGGGGAAGCATAAAGGTATGTAAAATAACTAAGAAGGGAAACAGATGGAAAATTAAAATAAGATGACTAATAATAACTCATAGAACAACAATCAACCTAAAAAATTCTTTATAAAACAATAAAAGTCTGAAACCCACTTGAAAGGAGTGAATAACAAAAGTTTGAACACAAAGGCATAGAAAAAAGTATTTCAGGCAAATACTAAATGAAAGGAAAATGTATTAGCAATTTTAATTCCAGATAATGAATTTATGATTACTTTAAAAATTTCATAACATGCAAATAGAAATGTCATATTCTGGTAAAAGAAACAATGAATAAAAAACATAAACATCAAAAAGTATCTCCTTTGATTATAACACAATGAAATAAATGGTAACAAGAGAATTACTTAAAATCTAATACATCTGGAAACTAAAAAGTATACTACCAAATATTTTTGTGTGAAAGGGGTTTTCGTAAGACAAATTAGAAATTACAATGCATGACAATGAAAACTCTGTATGTAAAAACTTGTGTGATACAGAAAAATCCGGCTTAGAGAAAGATTTATAGTTTTGAGTATATTAAATATAGAGCAAGAAAGAGTGGAAAGGAAAAAATTTGACTAAGTGGTTCTTTAAAAATATTAGTAATTAGACCATTATCAGGTGACCACTCAACAAAAATAGAAGCAATTTAGAAAGAGAGAAAATCCAGAATGAAAAAGAAATGACTAACTACAGGCACAACAGTATTTGTAAGATAGTAAAATAATATTATAAACAATTATAAAATTTGAAAATCCAAGAGAAATGGTTAAACTGGTGGGAAATTTATAGGTAAAATGCCAAAAGTGTTACAGAAAAAAATGGAAAACTTGAATAGATCATAACCTAGTAAATAAACTCAAATAATGATTAGAGTACGACCCTTCTCCTCAATAAAATGTCATAGAACAAATGAATTTTATTAATGAGTTCTTCCACATTTAAGGTTATTTATCTATATACAGTTGCAGAATACAGAAATGGAAGTGTTCAACTTAGTTTTATGAAGTTAATGTAATTTTAATTCCAATTGGAAAACAAAAGTACAAAAAAGGAAAAATTGGATCATTTAAGTGATGACGCATGCAAAAATAAAAAAACTATTTAGAATAGTTTATTATGATCAATTAGAATTTATTCCAGAAATGCAAGTGTTGTTCCACAACAGAAAATGTATCGATTTACTGTATTAATGGAAGGAAAACAATGAACTATTTCAATAGAATTAGAAAAATAAGTGATAAAATTAATATCTAGTTAAGACTACAAAAGAAAAAAATACTTTAGGAAGCTACAGATAGAGGGGAGCTTCCATAGCATATCAAAAGCCATAGTACCAAACACCTAACAACAGGAAATGTAGAAAGAAATATTTATGTTCTGTTTAAGATTAATATGACCAGACATGTACCTCAACACCATTACTCTTCAACATTTTATTAAGTGTTTTAACAAAATTTATAGGAAAGGAAAAAAATTAGGTATATGGACAAGAAAGGAGAAAAATACTGTCATCTTTTTGCAGATTGTTTGATCAACCCCACAGATCACCTGAAACTCTATTGGCACTAATAAAATAGTTTACAAAGCTTTTGGATAAAAAATTAATTTGTCATAATTAACTTACAAAAATTAATAATGCCCCTTACACAACAAATAATCAACCAGACAATTTCGTAGGAAAATACATCATTCACAAATAACAAAAATTAAAAATAATTTATGCATTAGCCCAAGTAAAGATGTAGGAAAAATTTATGGAAATAAAATTAAAACTCTATTGAAAGACACAAAGTAATACATAGATAAATGTAGATCTCTTCATGCCCACAGAGAAAATCTCAATGGATGAAATAACTTACTATAAGCATATTGATTCTTAATAAGTTAGTTTTTATAATCTAAATATGATCTTAACAGAATTTTTGAACAATTTTATAATCATAGGCTAAAATTTATATAAAAGTATAAAATATTCTTGAATAATATATTAGTTCATTTGAACTGCTATCACAGAATATCATAGACTGGGTAGCTTATAAACAACAGATATTTATTTCTCACAGTTCGGGAGGCTAGGAAGTCCAAAATAAACGTGATGGCAAATTCTGTGTTTCGTGAGGACCCATTTCCTTGTTCATAGATGGCCATTATCTCTTTGGTTCTCACTTAGTGGAAGGGGCAAAGGAGCTCTCTGAAGCCTCTTTTACAAGGGCACAAATTTCATTCATAAAGTCTCTACTCTTATTATTCAATCACCTACCAAATCTACCTTCAAATACCATTTCATTGGGGATTAGGATGTAACACATGAATTTGGGGAGGACACAGGCATTTAGTCTAGAGCAAATAGCTGTGTCAATTTTGAAAAAGAAGACCAAATCAGGGAACTCATTCTAGACAAACTAAAATATAGGTCAAAGATACAGTGTCATATTTATGACAGAACAGACATATATACTAGTGGAATAGAATAAACTTAGAAATGTGTACGGAAAATGGACTCTTTAATAGGAAATAAAATAGGGAAATTGACTAATTTTATGAAATAATTAGTTTGACTACTGTCGAATTCTGACTGAATCAAAAACTTACTTTGAAAGGCATAATTCTGAACAAATAAAAAATGTAGGCGGAGCGCGGTGAGTCATGCCTCTAATCCCAGCACTTTGGGAGGTCAAGGTGGGCAGATCACGAGGTCAGCAGTTCGAGACCAGCCTGGTCAATATGGTGAAAGCTCGTCTCTACTAAAAATACAAAAATTAGCCGGGCGTGGTGGCCTGTGCCTGTAGTCCCAGCTACTTGGGAGGCTGAGGCAGGAGAATCGCTTGAATCTAGGAGGCAGAGGTTGCAGTGAGCTGAGATTGCACCATTGCACTCCAGCCTGGGTGACAGAGCAAGACTCTGTCACAAAAAAAAAAAAAATGTAGCTGACAACTATAACAGAAATATATGATAAATTTGCATTAAAATTAAAGATTTCAGTTTAAAAAATGACACCTTTGGTAAAGTGTAACAAATAGTTCCTTCTTTGAAATAATCACTTTTAAATTCTAAAAATTGTCAAGAAAATATGCAAATGCCTACACATGTGCACACAGACAACACCCAGAAATTTCTATTGAAAAAATGGGCAAAAGTGGTAATTCATAAAAAGAGAAACATGAATGAGTAATAAGCAAATGAAACGGTTCCTATAACCTCATCAGAAATGTACAAATTAAAATGACAATGTAATGCCAGTTTATTCTGATTGGTTGGTAAACCTAACAGGTCATAGTGTTTCCAAGCATGGTGAAATTTGGAAAGCCTGTGTTTCCAGTAGGAGCGTAAATGAATACAGCTATTATACAGGAAAATCTTGCCCTACCTAGTGAAAGTAAGTGTACATGTACTCTACAGTCACACCCAGCTATGGAACGCAAAGAAAATCACACATTTTAACACTAATTTTGGAAAGAAATTTCCAAAGAAATGGAATTTAATTATCAAAGAAATGGAAGCAACCTAAGTTTGCATTTCTAGTTCAGTTGAAAAGTGAAATATGCATTACTATAAAGCAATAGAAACATAATAGCAAACAGGATATCATATAACCGTATAAACAAGTCTTAAAAACATTATGACAAGGGAATAATCGAAGAAAGAATGAGATATATAACACAATTTAAGCACACACAAGATGGTCCTGTGTTTTCTATGTATACAATATTTTCCTGGTCAAATATTAAATATTAGAAAATATTAGAAAAATTAGACATACAGAATATGTCTATGTAGGAAACAGATATGGGGGGTATTGATGCTGACAAATGTGCAAAATAAAATAAATAAGAACTGTGAACTATTGGGAATGGCTAAGACAATTCTTTTCATCTAGAGACCAAAGGGAAAAATAAATTCAAATAATACTTATTTTCAAAATAATCACCAAAATTTGCTTTTTTTTTTCCCCCAGGAAAAGTAAAGTACAGAATAGGAGCTGGTAGAATTAGGAGGAGAGCATTTATTTGAAAGTCCGTAGGTAGATACACTAAAGTTACTTGCAGTTGTCCAGGGATGTTATCTGACAACTTCTTGTTTGGGCTTATTACTTGGCAGTTTGTAAGTGACTTACCATTCGAGGTAGCCCCAGAGTTTGGCATTAGGAATTGATGAAACTATAATCAGATAAGGGAGATACAGTTTTTTTCAATGGTCTCAAAATATCTCCAATAAAATCTTGGGTCAAGATACCTTCTTTGAAACAACCTCCGTAGTAATTTTTTCAAGAGAGAAGAAAAACAACATAAAAAGATCTAGAAGAAATGGATAAATTCCTCGACACATACACTCTCCCAAGACTAAACCAGAAAGAATTTGAATCTCTGAATAGACCAATAACAGGATCTGAAATTGTGGCAAAAATCAATAGCTTACCAACCAAAAAGAGTCCAGGACCAGATGGATTCACAGCCGAATTCTACCAGAGGTACAAGGAGGAACTGGTACCATTCCTTCTGAAACTATTCCAATCAATAGAAAAAGAGAATCCTCCTTAACTCATTTTATGAGGCCAGCATCATCCTGATACCAAAGCCGGGCAGAGACATAACCAAAAAAGAGAATTTTAGACAAATATCCTTGATGAACATTGATGCAAAAATCCTCAATAAAATACTGGCAAACCGAATCCAGCAGCATATCAAAAAGCTTATCCACCATGATCAAGTGGGCTTCATCCCTGGGATGCAAGGCTGGTTCAATATATGCAAATCAATAAATGTAATCCAGCATATAAACAGAACCAAAGACAAAAACCACATGATTACCACAATAGATGCAGAAAAGGCCTTTGACAAAATTCAACAACCTTCATGCTAAAAACTCTCATTAAATTAGGTATTGATGGGACGTATCTCAAAATAATAAGAGCTATCTATGACAAACCCACAGCCAATATCATACTGAAGGGGCAAAAACTGGAAGCATTCCCTTTGAAAACTGGCACAAGACAGGGATGCCCTCTCTCACCACTCCTATTCAACATAGTGTTGGAAGTTCTGGCCAGGGCAATTAGGCAGGAGAAGGAAATAAAGGGTATTCAATTAGGAAAAGAGGAAGTCAAATTATCCCTGTTTGCAGATGACATGATTGTATATCTAGAAAACCCCATTGTCTCAGCCCAAAATCTCCTTAAGCTGATAAGCAACTTCAGCAAAGTCTCAGGATACAAAATCAATGTACAAAAATCACAAGCACTCTTATACACCAATAACAGACAAACAGAGAGCCAAATCATGAGTGAACTCCCATTCACAATTGCTTCAAAGAGAATAAAATACTTAGGAATCCAACTTACAAGGGAAGTGAAGGACCTCTTCAAGGAAAACTACAAACCACTGCCCAGTGAAATAAAAGAGGATACAAACAAATGGAAGAACATTCCATCCTCATGGGTAGGAAGAATCAATATCGTGAAAATGGCCATACTGCCCAAGGTAATTTATAAATTCAATGCCATCCCCATCAAGCTACCAATAACTTCCTTCACAGAATTGGAAAAAACTACTTTAAAGATCATATGGAACCAAAAAAGAGCCCACATCACCAAGTCCATCCTAAGCCAAAAGAACAAAGCCAGAGGCATCACACTACCTGACTTCAAACTATACTACAAGGCTACAGTAACCAAAACAGCATGGTACTGGTACCAAAACAGAGATATAGATCAATGGAACAGAAAACAGCCCTCAGAAATAATGCCGCATATCTACAACTATCTGATCTTTGACAAACCTGAGAAAAACAAGCAATGGGGAAAGGATTCACTATTTAATAAATGGTGCTGGGAAAACTGGCTGGCCATATGTAGAAAGCTGAAACTGGATCCCTTCCTTACACCTTATACAAAAATTAATTCAAGGTGGATTAAAGACTTAAACGTTAGACCTAAAACCATAAAAACCCTAGAAGAAAACCTAGGCATTACCATTCAGGATATAGGCATGGGCAAGGACTTCATGTCTAAAACACCAAAAGCAATGGCAACAAAAGCCAAAATTGAGAGATGGGATCTAATTAAACTAAAGAGCTTCTGCACAGCAAAAGAAATTACCATCAGAGTGAACAGGCAACCTACAGAATGAGAGAAAATTTCTGCAATCTACTCATCTGACAAAGGGCTAATATCCAGAATCTACAATGAACTCAAACAAATTTACAAGAAAAAAACAAACAACCCCATCAAAAAGTGGGCAAAGGATATGAACAGACACTTCTCAAAAGAAGACATTTCTGCAGCCAAAAGACACATGAAAAAATGCTCACCATCACTGGCCATCAGAGAAATGCAAATCAAAACCACAATGAGATACCATCTCACACCAGTTAGAATGGCAATCATTAAAAAATCAGGAAACAACAGGTGCTGGAGAGGATGTGGAGAAATAGGAACACTTTTACACTGCTGGTGGGACTGTAAACTAGTTCAACCATTGTGGAAGTCAGTGTGGCGATTCCTCAGGGATCTAGAACTAGAAATACCATTTGACCCAGCCATCCCATTACTGGGTATATACCCAAAGGAATATGAATCATCCTGCTATAAAGACACATGCACACGTATGTTTATTGCGGCATTATTCACAATAGCAAAGACTTGGAACCAACCCAAATGTCCAACAATGATAGACTGGATTAAGAAAATGTGGCACATATACACCATGGAATACTATGCAGCCATAAAAAATGATGAGTTCATGTCTTCTGTAGGGACATGGATGAAATTGGAAATCATCATTCTCAGTAAACTATCGCAAGGAGAAAAAACCAAACACCTCATGTTCTCACTCACAGATGGGAATTGAACAATGAGAACACATGGACACAGGAAGGGGAACATCACACTCTGGGGACTGTTGTGGGGTGGGGATAGCGGGGAGGGATAGCATTAGGAGATACACCTAATGCTAAATGATGAGTTAATGGGTGCAGCACACCAGCATGGCACATGTATACATATGTAACTAACCTGCACATTGTGAACATGTACCCTAAAACTTAAAGTATAATAATAATAATAATAATAAAATGCTTAAAAACAGCAAGAAAAAAAAAGTAGCCCAAGTCAAAATAATTGGCTTAAAATATCATGTAGCTTAAAAACACCATGTAGCTGTCCAAGATACATATATCTTGTTTTTGAACATTATCAGTTTAATTAACAAATGTGAATAATGATCATATCCTACAAAGAAACCACACAGAAGTGAATGTTTGTATTTGTGACTGAATAAACTTATATGAAATACATTTCTTTAGCACTTTCTCCAGAATATTCACATACATGGATAATTAAAGACAAAAACCTCTCAACACTATGAATAAACAAACAAAGAAACAAACAAAAAACAAAAAGCAAACTTGTTGACAGTGGAAAAATGGAATACTGTGAGAAATGAAATAATTTCATTATAAAGCTCTCTCTTCACATTTATCATATTAAAATTTTCATACTAAAAATATGTAAGAAGCTACAAGTCAACAAAAAAAACCCAATTTAAAAATGAGAAAAATAAATAAATGAACATTTCTCCAAAGAAAATATGCAGATGTCCAACAAGTATATGAAAAGATACCCAGAATCAGTAATCACCAGGGAAATGCAAATAAAAATGCAATGAGATATCATCTCACACCTGTTATGATGGCTACTTTAAAAAAAAAAGATAAGTACTGGCAAGGATGTGTATGAAAGGGAACTCTTGTACACTGTTGGTGGGAATGTGAATTGGTACAGCTACTATAAAAAACAGTATGGAGTTTCTTCAAACAGAATAAAAATAAAACTACCATATGATCCGGCAATCCCATCTCTGAGTATAGATATGCAAAAGAGTTGAAATCAGGAGGTCAGAGAGGTATCTGAATTCCCATGCTTACTATAGCATTTTTCACAATAACCAAGATATGACAACAACCTACTTGTCCATTGATAAATGAATGGATAAAAAAAAATTACACACACACACACACACACACACACACACACGGATATTATTCAGCTTTGTGAAAGGAAATCCTATCATAGGCAACAACATGAATGAACCTAGAGGACACTATTGTAAGTGAAACAAGCCAGACACTGGACAAATGCTACGTGGTATAATTTATATGATGAATCTAAGATAGCCAAACTCATAGAAGTAGAGTAGAATAGTTGCCAAAAGCTATGTCAAAGGGGGAAATGAGGAGGTATTAGACAAAGATTACAGAGAGTACAGAGTTTTGGCTGTACAAGATGAACAAGTCCTAGTGATTTACTTTACAGCATAGTTCCTATAGTTAACAATACTGTATTGTATACTTAAAAATTTACTAAGTGTAGATCTTAAGCATTCTTGTTAAACACACACACACATAGAAACAAAATAAATAAGAAGGTAGGAGGAAATTTTTGAAGGTCATGGATAAGTTTATGTTATGAATTATAGTATAGTGATGCTTTTACAAGTATAGACTTAATTTCCAAACTCATAGAGCTGTATATATTAAATATGTATAGCTTTTTGTATGTCAATGAGACCTCAATAAAATGTTTTTTAAAAAGTAATGATAAAACATGCACTCACTTTCTGTTGTCTGGAACTCCGGTCTGGCAGTGGGATTATAAGTACTGAGATGAATAAATTGGGCTTACACAGTACTACATAGAGTTTCTGCATTAAATATCAATGATCACAAAGGGTATACTTTTTAAACACGCATTTTTCAAAGGACTGCTTTCGCTTTCAATTTGAGGTTTATTCTCACCTGAATATCTTTATTCTGAAACTGAACAAAACCTGGAGGAACCAGACTCCTTAGATTAAATGTCATTTTGTTTAAAAAAGCAACATTCACTAAATAATCAGATCTCCTATTTTCTTGGCATCAGAGGGAATAAATGCCAGGTGTAAACCTAAGCCAGAAGCAAAAAGTGTTAAATAAAAAGTTCAAATATGTTGCTTTCATAAAGGCAAAATCCAAATACCTTTATCTTTTGAAATTTCAATTTTCGGAAACAATATAAACTGCTGAAGTAATTATAAACCTATTATTCTTTAATACAACAACTAGAACTTAAAACAGAATTGAGAAGTAATTTGAATGGACTATGGAATGGATACTGTAAATACTATATTTTGAATATCTGATATTTCATATAAAAAGAAAAAAATGGAAAAAATTTAAAAACAATTATTCCAAAATGTCTATTATATTTTAATATGATTTTCAATTAATAATATTTTATTTACATAAGCTTGATAAGAATGAATAAACATTGGAGCATTGATGTCCAAGAATCAGGGAGATGAATGACAATTTATTGCAAATTTTGTTGAGTATGTGGTGGCTTTAGTTCAGACTATGGTAAAAATATTTATCGATGGCTTAGTCTTTTATGAACAGCCTTTTAAGTACTGGGGATACATTAGTGAACAAAAGAGACAAAGACTGTTTTCCATATGAAGCTGATGCTCTAGATTACTTAATTATTTTAGAACTCTAAAGATGAAATTTTTAAAAATTTCATATTGGCTCTATTAAAAATCAACAACTTGATTTTTTTCTGAAACATTTATTTTTATATTTCAATTAATTGACAAAAATCAAAATAACATTTAATGCTCTAAACTTCTCAGGCAAAAAATGTAACATAGAGATAATATAAATATTTAAAGATCATATTCTACATTCTTTTCCACTTTAAGTAGATTTCTATTGTTGGAGCATAATTAAATAAAAGTCAGAGTTCTTATTTTATGATTTAATGATGATATTTTTAAATCCAAATTACTCTTAATTATTTTGACTCTTTTCCCTTAAATATTTTTCTGATTTGTAGACTATGGAAAATATATGGCACTAGTAAGCATGAAAATGGTTCCAAATTTATAACTAAGCATGAACCCAAAAGCAAATTTGTTTTATAATCCTGTGGGCAATATAACGAATATGGCAAAGTTTTTCTTCAAGGGCGTAAGCTTTCAGAATTGAAGCTCATATTTTAGCAACTGAAGTTAATTAAGCTTCAAATAATTTGAGGGCCATTCAATTCTGTAAATAAGAGTGTAAGAAGTTGTACTTTTTTAAGAACGAAGAAATTTTATTTTATTTTATAATTTTTTTGGATGACAACTCAAATTACAGTAGGAAACTTTGGATAATAATGAAACATCACTCACATTATGTGGCATGTATTTCTTCATAAAAACTAATTAAGGGATCCTGACCACTGAAATAATGTGGTATAAAGACAGACAAGGTACTTATTTTCTAAAAACTCTGTCTCAAGTTAGATAGATTGTTTAATGGCTCAGGATGCTAAAAATGTGAGCCTGACATGAACTCCATTTTCAAATGCAGAATATGAAGAATATTGACTTATGCAGCAGCCTAGATGAGGTAATTGTACGTCAAATATTTCTATGAAACATTTAATTAAGCATAATGGGTTTATTCAAATACAGGTAAAAGACCCGACTTCTGGACTCTGGCATAAATCAGAAGTGACTTTTGGCCACTTCTATTTGTCCATAATATTCACCTGCATTTCTCCCTCTCCCTCTCTTTTTCCTATATTCTCTCTTTCCTGAGTTTAGTTGTAGCATTAAGGTTATTATTAATATAGTACAATATTTACTTTAAATAATTAAAGATAAGTCATCTTATTTTTCAATGTATATCTATTCTTGGTGAGTAGTTATTTTCCACAAATGGAATAAAACTGTGATTATTTGCCTGAACTCTCCATAAGACAGGGTGAGAAGAGGAGATTCCGAATTTTTTTTAACTAGGCTTTGTGTTTTTTTAATTTGATCTGAGTTTATTTCATTCTGATTCTCCAACATGTTACATTCTTACATAGAATTCCTTAAAATACTTTGTTTCTCTGGAAGATCTTTTTTTTCCTCAAAAAACCTTTCTGAATCAACATCAAGCTACGGAATATATTCCATACATGCTGGCAGTAGTTAATACACAATAATAATAATTACATTTTTAAAAAATTTTAATATTTTTCCCCATTATTCATGTTTTCTTTTTTTTTATTATACTTTAAGTTTTAGGGTACATGTGCACAACGTGCAGGTTTGTTACATATGTATACATGTGCCATGCTGGTGTGCTGCACCCATTAACTCGTCATTTAACATTAGGTATATCTCCTAATGCTATCCCTCCCCCCTCCCCCCACCCCACAACAGGCCCCAGTGTGTGATGTTCCCCTTCCTGTGTCCATGTGTTCTCATTGTTCAATTCCCACCTATGAGTGAGAACATGCGGTGTTTGTTTTTTTGTCCTTGCGATAGTTTGCTGAGAATGATGATTTCCAGCTTCATCCATGTCCCTGCAAAGGACATAAACTCATCCTTTTTTATGGCTGCATAGTATTCCATGGTGTATATGTGCCACATTTTCTTAATCCAGTCTATCATTATTGGACATGTGGGTTGGTTCCAAGTCTTTGCTATTGTGAATAGTGCCGCAATAAACATATGTGTGCATGTGTCTTTATAGCAGGATGATTTATAATCCTTTGGGTATATACCCTGTAATGGAATGGCTGGGTCAAATGGTATTTCTAGTTCTAGATCCCTGAGGAATCGCCACACTGATTTCCACAATGGTTGAACTAGTTTACAGTCCCACCAGCAGTGTAAAAGTGTTCCTATTTCTCCACATCCTCTCCAGCACCTGTTGTTTTCTGACTTTTTAATGATTGCCATTCTAACTGGTGTGAGATGGTATCTCATTGTGGTTTTGATTTGCATTTCTCTGATGGTCAGTGATGATGAGCATTTTTTCATGTCTTTTGGCTGCAGAAATGTCTTCTTTTGAGAAGTGTCTGTTCATATCCTTTGCCCACTTTTGATGGGGTTGTTTTTTTCTTGTAAATTTGTTTGAGTTCATTGTAGATTCTGGATATTAGCCCTTTGTCAGATGAGTAGATTGCAGAAATTTTCTCCCATTCTGTAGGTTGCCTGTTCACTCTGATGGTAGTTTCTTTTGCTGTGCAGAAGCTCTTTAGTTTAATTAGATTCCATTTGTCAATTTTGGCTTTTGTTGCCATTGATTTTGGTGTTTTAGATATGAAGTCCTTGCTCATGCCTATGTCCTGAATGGTATTGCCTAGATTTTCTTCTAGGGTTTTTATGGTTTCAGGTCTAACATTTAAGTCTTTAATCCATCTTGAATTAATTTTTGTGTAAGGTATAAGGAAGGGATCATGACATTTCTTTATCACAGAAAGGGCAGTCCAAATATTTCTATTTTCCAGCTGTATTATCAATATATGAATTATTTCAAATAGATTTTATAATTATGTTCTTAAGTATGTAATTATGGTAATGTTTTTTGATAGTCCTTCAAGATAATCTGTTTATAATAACCCTGTTTTCTATATATAATATTTTGTTGGAGCATTTACCACTTGGGATTTCAAGGATGAAAAAAAGATTATAATTATTATCATTATTAATTTGAAAAGGATTTATTTGTTAAACCCTTATCCACGTTCCATAACTCAGAAATCCTGTGTGTTGATGATACAACAAAGTATAAAAATTATAGATGTGGACAAATACATGAAATATGCACCATATACAACAGTGTCATAAATTAAAACTTAAATACTCGGTTTCTTTTTTACTTAGAAATCACCACCTTTGGACATAAAAAAACTAATTTTATACTTTCTCAGAAAGAAAAAGATAAGAAAATTGAATAGTGAACATTCTAAAGTGATATTTAATATTTTTAGGAGGATATTTAATTTTTTTAGGAAGGCACTTTCTCACACTCTGGAAGCATCTCTCAGCATAAAAATTGATAGTGTATTCATAACTTTGATGCTGTCTTTAGAAAAATAATTTAATACTTGATAGCTGCAAGTTATATTGAGTTGAATGATTTTAAATTTAAAACTTTGTGTCTTATAGATAGAATTCTTATTTTCTCTTCATCAGACTTGTCTTCATCTTTTTACCACAGTTAGTATGAGTTAGGATGGTTTTATGACAAATGTTTCAGATGCTTATTATAAGCAATGAGTTGAGTTAGACATTTTGGAGATTGCTGTTTATTTAGACAGATGAGAAGATAAACATTTCTCTTCCAATTGTCTGAGGAATACTTGGGAAGAAGAGACACTTTAGAAACTATCTTAATAAGCAACAACAAAAATAAGGTATAGGTATAATGCAGTCCTAGGAGGTATTCTATAAACAGACTTGGGGCGATAATAAAGGTATAATCAAATGAATTTGACTCCAAATGGATATGGTTAGCAATGAGAGAAGAAAATCTGGAAATGGGGACAAACAGTCCTTCAGACAATATGAATGACGTGGGCAGAAGTCAAGGGAAGTGATCCTTCTCTAATAATTTCTAATGCTGGCTTTTCTAGTGCTCCCTTTCAGGAGAACTTTTTTTTTTCTATTTCCTCTGAGTAATGGAAAACTGTAACTACTGTGCAGTACACCAACTCAAGTGGATTTGCTAACAATCTTGGTCACTGATGTGAATTAAAAACTGCAGCAAGTTATTAATGAAGATGAGGATCCCGAGGCAGAAAATTGCTGACAGACATATAAGTACAGGCTTGTGTATTAGTTTTCTTTTGTTGCTGTAATAAATTTTCACAAACTTAGTGGCTTAAAACAATACACATTATTATATCATTGTTCTACAGGTCAGAAGTCAAACTCAGTCTTGCTGGGTAAAGGTCAGGGTGTCATTAGAGTTGCATTCCTTCTAGGAAGTCCAGCAGAGAATCTTTTCTTTGCCTTTTTTAGCTTCTGGAGGCCACCAGCATTTCTTGGTTCAAAGCCTTTCCTCCATCTTCAAATCTAGCAGTATAGCACATTTAAATATATATGGCCCTGAGCCCTCTTCTGTCTCCTTTCACTTTTATGGACTCTTGCCACTACATTGGATCCACCTGGATAATCCAGAGTAAATTCTTTATTTTAAGGAAAACTGAATAGCAAATTAATTCCAATTCCAAACTTAATTCCCCTTTGTCATGTAACATAACATATTCACAGGGTCCTGGATTATCATATAAACTTCTACAGGGGCAAGGGCATTATTCTGCCTACCATAGCTTGGAAATCAATGGTGGGATGGGATCAACCACTGCACCTTACTTTATTCTGAGGAAGAAAAGCATTTGCAAAAATGAGGAGACATTTTGGAGAATCTTATAAAATAGGCTGCATAGGGACAATGATAGAGCCAGGAGACCAGTAGAGACGAAGCTGAGGATGCAATTAGAGACTGAATAAGGATTATGTTTAAAAAGCCAGGGACAAAGATAAAAGTGTATAGATAGTATTAGATAAAAATAGAATTTAACAATCAAGTTTATTGAAATATCGTTCACCACAAATTGTACCTTAATTAATAGAACCCTTTAAATTTGAGTTTTAGGCATAAAAATGTTGCTTCCCACTTAATTTGTAGTGCATTATTTGGATGCCACCAACATTTCATTTTATGATGGCAGAGTCCTTATTAGATATTCTTACCAAGGCCATATTGTGTATCTCGCTCTCATTTCAATCTAGGATCTGAAAATTCAGCATTTAAATTTCCACAGGAAGAGTCTAGGTAATCAGTGTTTTAGAATAAAAATCTTTTACATTATTCTTAAGCTCTTCCCTTGCTTTGCCCTCTATAATTCTTGAAAGCAGTTGACACAGCAGCTTTAGTTCTTTCAAGTGAGTTTCAGATGGAGGGAAAAGCCCTAATTTCCATTTTAGAGCTGGATCTTTGAGAATGATTAAGGTTTCAAGTGAATATCACAACTCATGAAAAAAATCACTGGCTGGAAAATAGGATCTGGAAATAGCAACAGCGGTAAAAGTGGATATGCTCTGGAGAATAGACGTCATTAAATTAGTCAACATCTTAATTACATTTCCTTTCTCTGTCCAAGAGCTTACTAGGAAATATCTTGTGACTGTCTTCATTGATTCCTAATGACAGAACTGTCAAAATCATATTTTTATTTGCTATATTTTCTGGTGTGTCGGGGGGGTGGCATGGGTAAACGGGTAATGGGAGAAAGGAGCGTAATGTCAGCTGGAATGTAAAATATTCAAAAGCACTAGATTCTGATGTACAAATATTTGTTGTTTAAATTCAAAACTGAGGGAACCCAAAGCATTTATAATGATAATCTCTTTAAAGCTACTGCAATAGCATACGTTATTGATTCCTCAATATTCTAAAGCATGTGAACTATTGTGTCTTTATTTCTCCATCTTTTTATCTTTCCTTCGTATTATTCATTTTGGGGCATGAACTCTCAACATGCAACCTCTTCAGCTCCTTGACCTCACTGCCAATGAGTTTCTTTTCCACTCTACCATCTCATTTATTTTGGTTGAGTACATCGCTGCACCTGTAAGTATCCCAACTTCAACCAGTAATTAAATCACATCACATTCTGATCTCAAAATTCTCCCTTTTCAGCTACTTCTACATGTAATCTCATTGACATCTTATGTCTGCTGACCACCTTTCATGTTTTCCTTCTTCTGTGTCCTCAAATATCTCTATATTTAGTTAGAGTCTACTGTTCATATGTCAACACACTCTTGATAATGCTTTCAATTACCTGGTCCTTTTGCTACTTTGTCACATTCATCCAGTCAACCCCATCTGTGAATCAGTCCAATTCCTGGCTCTCTCAGTGAACGAATGCATTGGATCAGCCAATTTCTATTGAAAAACTTCTCACAACATGGCAAAATGATAATCAAATTAAAATAGGTCTGAAAATTCAATAATTCTATTATATTATATATGCATATATACAAATAACTCCAAAATTTATATTTACAGTTTTGAAATTTCTGGACTCAAAAACTTTCGTCCAGCTAGGATTTCAATATTCCCTATTTGGATGTCTCAAAGTTACCTACAAGTCAACACCCCTAAACTCATATTGACCCCCTTCACTTCAATTAATTTTTTTTTTTTTTTTTTTAGTGTTTCTAGCATCAACATCCAAGCCAGAAAATCAGGAATTATTTGTGACATTGCTTTCTCCTTTGCTCCAACATGGAGTTCAGTACTGTAAATTGACTTTATTTCCTAAGCATTTCTTAAGTCAGTCTTCTCTCTATCTCCACTTCTATTGCCCTGGTCCTGCTGTGTGGTCTGCTGTCTGCTGCAATAATCCCCAACCATTCTCCCCATATCCAATATTGCACCATTAAACCTCTTCTTCACTCTGAAACCACAGTATTTTATGGAATGTACGTTTAGATATGTCACCTTTTGCTACAAAACCTACATATGTGCCATTACTCATAAAACAAAAATATTTGACAGGGCCTACACAGAAGGCCTTCAAGGCTGATTCTACTTACCTCTGTAGCTGAATGTTTCTCCTTTCTTCCTGCTGCTTTCAGTGCTCAGATCTCACCGACCATTTGATGAGGCTATAAGAGCTATATTAGGGCTGCTCTTATGCCTGAATGCTTCCTCCTTATTTTATCTTCCCCGCCACTTTTAACTTTCTTTCTTATATATTCAATTCAGCTATTACCTTCTCAGGGTAATTTCCCTGCCATACACAAAAAAGTAAATGCCAAATTTACAAACTTAATAGTCTCAGCAGCTTTCTGACATAGCACTTATAACAGTTAATTTTATAACTTTGCATGCTTCTCAGATTAATTTATCATTTAACACACAGTAAGCTCACAAATGACAAGAAATACAATAGTTTAAATAAAACTCCTGTAATACTAGCAGATTAGTCTGTTAGTGTCATTCTTTAATCTCATCCTGCAATTTGGAAGTACCAGCTTGAATTTTGAGATTGTAGTAAATAAAGGGTAAAAAGATGCCTTTGGTCACTGCCACAGGACCAAATATTAAATCCGTCTTGTGGTTTGTCCAACAAGAGATTTTTGTTATATTATTTACCTTTTAGTCATAACTGTTTTTGACCACTGTACTATATTAAAAAAACCCAACAAAATTAAGAACACGCCTAATAGCAGCATGACTAGATTGAATTTTTACTTAAATTCCTGTGAATGCCAGCTTCCCATCTACGTAACTTGACTGCTACATTGCATAGCTCTTCATTTTTTAGTGATTATTTGTTCCACTTCTGTTGAAACAAACTTCCTGAATTTTGGACACTGTTAGAATTATAACAGTCACCATTATATTATTTATTTTTGACATCTCATCTGTTGCTTTTTCTGCGTGGAATTTTCTTATATGTATACACAACACATATAATACATATATATATATAATTTTAATTTGGGGGTACATATTGCAGAATTTTCTAATTTTCAACTTATTTTCAAACTTACTTTGTGCTTACATGTTCACCATTCAAATATCTAACTCACCTTTTCTGTATATGAAGAACTGAATTTTGACTTTGCATAATCCTATAGGTCAGTCAATATACTCAGCTCTTATTCTGTGTGGCTCATCCTATGGATTTCTAAGAACAGATGGTGCCAAATATAAGGCTTCAGTCATTGTTCTTCATTCTTACAAATTATACTATGTACATTTTTTGTAATGCTAAAAATTTGCAAACCTCTTTGCTTAAAAATTTTATTTAATTGTACCAACTTCCCATAGAAGGTGCTAGCAATATTATTATTATTATTATTATTATTATTATTATCATCATCATCATTCCATTTTATGGATAAGAAAATTAAGTTCAAAATATTTAGCAAAGTCAACCAAAGTCATATCGTTGTTAATTGACAGAACAGAATGGCTTCTTATGATCCTTTTGGTCTTCTAATTTGAAGTCTAGTCCTCTTTCAATAACAATCTTTGCTTTCTAGTAACTCTTTGCAGTTCACACAGAAAAGATCACTTCATTGGGGGGTAGTTATAAAAAAAATCCTAAATCCATATTTTTCTACTTGGAAGTCATTTTAAGAATGGCCAGCATGCAATGGGCCATTAAAGAAAATAAAAGGAAAATAAATGTGCACAAGAAAAGGTCAGTCCTGCACAGTATAAAACCACAAAGGAAAACTGACCTGCCTAAGCATGGTCAAATGTAGTCCCAAAATCATGCACATCAAAGAAATGGATTGTAGTCTCCTAGGAATTAAATAGAAATTCTGAGAGCAGTAGACTACATAGCTAGGCATTATTTGAAACTATGAAGGTAATATTCTCTGGGTTTTCATCATACAATTTCTCACAACAGGCTTTATTTGCAGAAATGTATAAGCAGGACTATATAAAGTAGAGACACAGCATCATGAAAATTACTTTATATATATAATCAAGAGGTTATTAAGTACATCAGAACACAAGGATAGAAGGATAGTGTTCTGTGGAAACAAATGCATAATATAGCACCACAGATAATACTATTCTAATTACAAATGTAAGTCACTGAGTTGATTGCTAGAAAATTAGTTTGGGTCTTGGGATATATATATATTCTATGTATGCTTCTGTTTAAGGATGGAAAAAGTGGACAAGTGAGTCTTAGCTTGATTCTGAGAATTAAGAATAAGTTTTACTATATATATATATATGATAGTTTGCATTTTATATTATTATACCATAAATATAACTAGATCTATGTTTTGGAGGTCACATATTTAGCTGTGTCATCTTTCACTCCTTATTTGTCAATTTATTTCACCAAGATTTCACTGGGAGAAGATCTAGAAACAAGAGAATTTAAGACCCAGTTTCTGTTTTCAAAAAATAATGTGTTTTAGAAAGATATGCTGACATGAAATAGCTAAAGAAATGTTTCCCAATGTGGTTACATTCCCAAATGGGTGGTATAGGCATTCAGAATATCACAGAAATTCAGAAAAGGGAACAATTAGCTAAGACTGGAATAGTCTATTAGTACAGGTTGCTTAGTTGGCATAAACCATAATTACTTTTGCACCAACCTAATAGGATCTAATTTACATTGTTGAGTTTGTGGGAAATATAAGCCTCAGAATGAGGTGAGAAAAGTGTATCCTGTTTGGCAGGGGTATGTTTTGGCAAAACTATAATGTAGCAAAGTAAATCTAAGAAACATTTACAGATATACATAATCTAGAAGTAAAATGGGGGAAAAGGAGCATTTTGGACAAATATACAAATAAGAATGGCTGAATTCTTATGGATGTTATTCCAACAGCTTGCATGGAGAAACATTTTCTTGAATGTAGCTTTAGTGTCAAACTGCAACATAAATAAGGCATATCCACTGGAAAAAATAATTTGACTAAAGAGAGTACCTATAGTGTGTGACCTTGTTTGACTAAAGCAGGTTAATATAAGAAAAGGAGAGGTTGAGCATGTGACTAACTGGAGAGGGTATTAAAAGGCCTTACAATTCCAACTTTAAATAAATATGCCAGCAGACAAAATACATCTGTGAGCCACAATGAGTTGAGTCTACAACCCTTTCTGGACTATACATGTCTTGAAATTAGGGGATTGTTTTTCATGGATGTCAGTATCCTCCACCCAACATAACAGTGTGGTTGAATGAATAAATGAATGACTATCACCTAACAACTGCTTGCTTTATTGAATATGGCAGTAAAGAAATTCACTGCTTACAAAACACTCTTGGCTTATATATGTATATATATGTCATTCACAGATAATATGACAATTAATAATTTGAGATGTTATATGATTTGCTGAAAGTCAAGAAGTTGATAAGTGAAAAGGCTTGCTTTCAAACCAAAATCATCTGATTTTACATCCAGTGAATATCCCATTGCCTGTCCCCTTAAAGCCACTCTAACATAAGACTATGGTCAAGTCTCAAAAATTTGGAAATCTGCCAAGATTGGAGGTAAAATTGCTTTAGGGTAAAACAACCTCTTTTGTGCCCCATTTATTTCAAGGAGCATGTTAGGGACTTTAAGCAGTATCCATTTGCAGAAATGCATTGCCTTTCTCCTTCAAATTTATGATCTATGTCCTCCCAGAATTCAGATCAATATGATGACCAAGTGATTCATCTCCCTATGTCTTAGTCACTTATAACTGTCACTTTGAGGAACACTTACCTCATTGCTCCTTCCTGATATATCCTGGACATTCTGTGGTGCAAAGTCTGTTAAAAATTATTTAAAATATTTTTAAATAGAACAGTACAAATAAATGTAGAGTCAGTCTATTATATTTTCTTTTCTTTTCTTTTTTTTTTTTTTTTTTTTGAGAGTCTTGCTCTGTCATCCAGGCTGGAGTGTAGTGCCACCATCTTGGCTCACTGCAACCCCCGCCTCTCAGGTTCAAGCAATTCTCTTGCCTCAACCTCCTAAGTAGCTGGCATTACAGGCACCTACTACCATGTCTGGCTAGTTTTTGTATTTTTAGTAGAGACAGGGTTTCACTATGTTGGCCAAGCTGGTCTCGAACTCCTTACTTCAGGTGATCTGCTCGCCTCAGCCTCCCAAAGTGCTGGGATTACAGGGGTAAGCCAACACACCTGGCAAGATTTTCTAATAGGTTGTTTTAATCCACCTAAAAACTAACACTTTATATCAAGGGAATAAAGTGAAAAAAGCTCTAAAAATTTGAGGGGGTTTACTGAGAGTAATTATTTATGAGTTTTCTTTAGGATTTTTGTGTGAAAGAGCCTTTAAAAGTTACTCCATTTTCAGAATTTATCAACTACAATTAAAACTTTTAGACAGTTTTGTTTGTCTTGAAAGCTAGGGAAGCAGGAATAATCAGAGCACAGCCAAATTCATTGGAGATTTAGAGAAACTTTTCTTTGTTGTATGGACTTGATCAATGAGTACTAAATAAATGTTCAACAGAAATTACAATAATAAAAGCAATTATATGAAAACAAAATTAGGAAAATATTTCCAGTGAAGATAGACTATATATTTTAATATAAATAAAAACACTTAAAAGCAATATTTTAGAAGTTGATAAAGACTTCATATAAATGATGTATATTACATTAAATTTATTTGGAACAATTTTTATTAATTTCTCATAACCAAATCTATATGACAATTATCCTGAAAACATTCATCTGTAACCAATGATTGTTCTTAGAAATCATGAAAGTTATTTATATGAACTTCCAAGACATTTTTTTTCTAGTTCAGAACAGTAAAAAAGAAAAACCAACAACCTGGAATAGGAAATCAACCATCACCGTAAGCAACTTTGTCACCTACTGGGTCTTATCTAACTTCTTAAGGCCAACACATTTAAGTTTTTCTTCATTACATTAATTGTAATACTCAGAGTTAGTGTAATAGGATGTCTGGTATCTATATTGCACCATCTGTGGTTTTAATCTTCTTTTCTTTAGGACCACTTCTTAGTTTGCAACATCAGGAAGTTTATTTTTAAAGATGAATATGAGACAACCAAGACACTGAGAACTGCAGGTGAATTAAGCAGCATCACTTGAAATGTGCCATCATCAGAAACCTTAAACTGTGTTCCTATCCGTAGAGAAGAAAATGTTCTTAAACCAATCAAGGAGCTGTGGCATTATGTACATTGATTGCAGCTGGGGAAGATGCCAGTTTGAACATATGCCCCAAAATAAAATGAAAATGGCAGTTCGTAAATGAAATGATACTAATAAATCTTAATGATAAGACAATAATAGGGATGCCTCTGAGGAACTCTAGGAAAGGTCAAAATGGACTCATCATAATTAGAGATTTAAGGTGTTAAATAGTGACACTAGCTATCTAGGATTGTTACTGAAAAGCTGTGCATTCAATAAGTATATAAATAATACCTGTGCTAAAATGTTTAGTAGTAGGAAGAAAAAGTTTGATTACTTGCATTTAAAGAGAAGCAAAGTAGCCGAGACTCAGTGTAAAGAACAGATTTGTTGCTAGTAGCATTGGACTACAGTCTGGATTCAGTCAGTAACCAAGAGCCCTGTGACCTTGGTGAACCATGCTGGCTCTTGGTTCTCTTCTCTGCTTTTGTTTTCCTCACCAGACTTTATCCCTGATGTTTCAGGCTTGGGAGCCATGTTTCAGTCAAGAGACAGAAAGCACTCATGGCAATAACAAGCAGGTATATAATGTCTCAAAGTATAAAGAACTTCATGTTCCTAGTTAAATGCTTATTAAAATTAAGAAGCTTACTGAACATCTACTAGGTAGCAGCAACGTAATATTCTGGAAGTGATGGCAGTGGCAGCCTGTATAGAGCGGCAGCTGCCACGATGCCAGCTGCAGTGTGGAGGCACAGGCAGCACTGCACGCTCCAGGGAGCTGGTGAGAGCCAGGAACAGGCAGGAGGAGCCCCACCTTCCCAGGCACAGCTGCAACTCCTCATGTCACGGCTGTGGACCCAGGCATCTCTGCACTCTCAGGGGCCTGGGAAGGACCCCCATACCCCCACAGGCTTGGAAGTGCCTGCTCCCACTGTTTGGCTTCTCTCCACTCCTAGCATCTGCTTTGATCTCAGAGCAAGGTTGGGGCCGAGTCTGGTCACTATCCCAGCCTGGCCAGGTGTGCGCACAATCAGGGAAGTATTGACACACCAACCCCGTGCCACCTTCATCCCCTCCGGACTTTGGGCACAACTAGCACAAGAGGAAGGCCAAGGGCAGGGCTGAGGGCGGGTCATTGCTGACCTTCAGGAACCCCTTGGCATGAACAGCCTGAGTGCCATGAATGGCAGCAGGAGGCAGACAGGCTCCTGGGCAGAAGCGGGCAGATCCCCACTGAAGCTCCATCTTCAAGCCAGGGAGGGCCTGAAGCCTGGGGGCCAGGCTGCTAGTCCTGCAGACTGTAGCGGGAACTTGTGGTGCTTTTTCCATGCCTGCCCATAGCTGCCCATGAATCAATCGGTGCACGCTTTCTCCCCTCTGAGGCCCATAAAGGTCCTGGACTCAGACAGACTTAGGAAGACAGCAGGATGGCCAGTTGCAGAGAGAACCTACCCAACCCAGGGTCTCCTCTCTGCTGAGAGCTGAGGAGACAATAAGACAACCAGCTGTGGAGAGGAGCTACCCACACCAGGTTCCCCTCTCTGTTGAGAGCTGAGCAAACATCGACACTACCAGCTGTGAAGAGGAGCTGCCCACTCCAGGGTCTCCTCTCTGCTGAGAGCTGAACACTCATCGGGACACCCTGGCTGTGGACAAATGCTACCCACTTCAAGTCTCCTCTGAGCTGTTCTATTGCTCAATAAAGCTCCTCTTCGCCTTGCTAACCCTCCACTTGTCAGCATTCCTCATTTTTCCTGGGCACTGGACAAGAACTCAGGACCCACCAAATGGCAGGGCTGAACATGCCCTTTGTAACACAAACAGGGCTGAAACACACCCCTTGCTCACCATGTTGTGGGTGACAAGAAGGAGAGAAGAGCTGCAGTCCTTCAGGGAGCCCAGATCTAGGAGTTCCCCAAGCCAGGACTGTGACACCCTCTTTGGGGCTCTGTGGTTCCTGGTGCCTTCAAGCTTCTGGGTGCCACTGCATTCCCTAGTGCCATCTGTGGAAGCTGCTTGTGGGATGTCTGGTCCAGCTGTAGCCTCGCAAGGAGCTGGCTCTTGTGCTGGAGACTGGAGCTGCCCACCCCACTGCAGCCAGCAGCTATGTGCAGTGGCCGGACCTGATGCTTGCTTGCTCACACATCCCTTCCAGCTCCACTTGCCCTTGGCAGGCATAGGATCCAGGCTGGTAGAATCCTGTGACAGAAGGATGTAAACGAAATAAATTAATAAAAGGGAAAGCTATATTCTCAAGTAGCACAACGTCTAGCAGAGAGAAGAGACAAACAGGCAATTGCCAAATGTTGTACACTATTAGAGGAACGTGCTTTATCCTAGGAAGCGTAGATATGGGGCACAGAAATACGCCTTTACAGCAGTTAAAAAAATAACTCAGGAGAAGATAATATACCTGAGTTGAAATCTGAGAAGACAAGCAGGCATTGACAGATGAACAAGATGAAAAGATTATTCCAGAAAAGGGGTACAATAATTATAAAGAAACCAAGAGGAAAAAAAATTGTCCCATCTTAGAAATGACAAATAGTTCAGTATTGTTCAAATGGACAATTTGTTATTGTGTTTAAAAGATAAGCAGAGGTTGATCATGATAGACTCAATATATTTTTATTGTGGATTATGATTTTAATAAGGCACTTAACAAATGTAACTAAAGTGGCTTTGTTAAATGCAGCTGTCCCTTTCATGTGGGTATGTGCTCTGCATTTTACCTCAATCCAATGGTGTGCTGGTTAATGTTTAACAACTAGTATCAGAGCTTCGATGGAAAATTAGATTGACAATATTTGCAGATTTCTGTGGTGTAAGTATGCTCACTGTAGCTGAATTAAAGCTACCAGCATGATGCCATTGACCTTGAAATTGGTAAGAAATGCACACACTATTTCTCTTGAGCCAATCAGTATAAGCTGGCTCCGGCACACCACTGCTTTAACCCACTTCTACCTTTCGTGTTCCTGAAAAGAGTTATTACATCATAGCTGTTTTATCATTTAAAAGTGATTGGGATTGTGATATATTGGTTATATGTCTCTTTTGTCTAAGGGAAGTGGCTAATACTAAGCTCCAAGTGAAGTCACCCAGTGCTACCTGAGCTTCCAATTTTTCAAGAAGTATAGAATTACACGTTTTGCTTATGACATATCCCAAATTGTAATTATTGATAAATAAGTCAATTTTTAAAATACCACCAGGGCTAATATTTGTTATCCCTTAGTGAAGAAGTGTGTCAAAAATATCCAGTCTGAAGGCCATGAGTTGGTAAAGGCAATGTAAATTCCTCAGGTTTTGAGCTGAGAAGTGAGTAACAATTAGTTAACATTGGATACAATAAGGTCCCAGCATCATCAAGCTCCAGCATCATCAAGAGTGGCCATGTTTTCTCCATGTGGCTTTTCCTCATAACTTGACCTGGTTGCAGACAAGTAGTTCCTTTCTCTCTGTATTTGATATATGCTTTTCTGTTCATCTGTCCCTTTAGAAAGTTGACAGTTTTATCTCTTTAGCATTGTGTGTGGCCGAGATAAGAAGGCAAAGTTTTGCTTGAACTAAAGCGAATGGAGAATATTGTTTATTCTATGATGTTAAAAGCTCAGCCAAATAATCCACAAGAAGTTGTGAACCATATTAAGAAATTGAATTAAGTAATCAAAAACTAACTGTACCTGAGCTAAAAACTAATTCTATACAACAATGTTTTAGAATCATTTTTTTCAGGTTTGTTTTCAAGACCTTTCTTTATTTGGGCCAGGTGCAGTGGCTCATGTCTGTAATCCCAGCACTTTGGGAGGCCGAGGCAGGTGGATCACTTGAGGCCAGGAGTTTGACACCAGCCTGGCCAACATGGCAAACCTCGTCTCTACTAAACATTTATGTGTGTGTGGTGGTGCATGCGTGTAATTCCAGCTACTTGGGAGATTGAGGCATGATAATCACTTGAACCCAGGAGCTGTGATCGTACCATTGTGCTCCAGCCTGAGCAACAGAGTGAGAATTTGTTTCAAAAAAACAAACACACACATAAACACACACAAGCAAACAAAAATCCTGAAAATTTTCTTTATTGGTAAACAGTTGCTAGGCAATCTTTCCAAATCTATGCCGCTACTGCTTCTTACATACAAGCTAGAAAAATGAATTAACACAACTCAACTTTCATTTCATTTGATTTTTCTTCCTTACCAAGGTATTCATGAATATTAGCTAAAACCAATGTAACTATTATTTTATTTACTTTTCTTGTCTTGAGAATAACATTCATTAATTCATGTATAAATACATTGATGTAATAACCATGCATTTATTATGTGACTATTCCATGTCATGTTTATCATCATCAAATATTTAAAAATGCAACCCTACTTTAAAGAAGTCGACAATATAGTGAGGGAGATTCTGAGAAAGTTTACACACACGCACACACACACACACACGCAGACTTGCTGTATACAGTATAACAAGTAGTGAAGGAGATAAGAGCAGTGCATCTATCTTCTATCTATCTCAATTCTGTTGGTCATTTTAGGATCATTTCTGACTTCTCCAAAGATGAGGAACAAGATCATTCTAGTAATTTAGATGGATAGCTGTACCAGTTTCACGCCAGAGATTCCACAGATGCGTCCAAGCTTAATCTATCATCTTCAAATTTCCCTTACCTAAAACTAAACAAACAACAAACAAACAAAACCCCTGTATTTTTTGCTAGCTTACTTTCTATCGTGATTTTTTTTTTGATGTTTTAAAGCCTGAATCATTTCTTTTAAGAAGTTGAAATTGGAATGGGACTTAGAAATTCTAGAAAAACCTTCTTTTTTTCTCTGCTCTTGCCTGAATTGAGGTTGGAATGTTTTAATACCAAATGATGTCAGGTGGAAGTGAACATTATTTTCTGAATCTAACTCTAAGGTGAACACACCAACAAATGGGCCAAAGACTTAATTTGGCACTGACTCAGAAAATCCAGAATTTGTTGCTGTTCTAACCATGTCTCAGTAGGTGAAGGTGGTATGTATCAAATAGTTAAAAGGATAATCAAGAAAACAGACTATTTTACTGAAGGCAAGTTTATATTTTCTTTACACAAGGACTTATGTCACTTGGAGGGCCTATATCATCATCTTCAGGATATTTGATAATAGGTTGTGTTTCCTGCAACTGGGAATAGTGACACTGCAGTTGTTTACTGTTCCCTGCTTAGATCTGAGGAACCAGAGCTGCTCCCTGACGGAGTTGCTTCCTTTGATTGTTCTGCTTTTTCATTAACTTTAAGAAAGCTGTGTTCTTTATGCTATTCCCTTATTCATGGAGAGAAGCAGACATGATTAAATACATAGCTCATCTTCAACATTTCCAATCCAGGAATAGAAAATGAGAATGTCATGTGGAGTCTTTCCCAGTAACTTTATTTTACATGACCTGGATTATTGATTTAAAACACTCCAACAAACAAACAGAAATAACCAACACATTTTATATTGCCCTAAATTATATGTTTAATATTCATTTAGTTATTTAATCCTGACCTGACACCTACTATACCACTTGTAGCATTTTACATGTAATTGAAGTTTTTCAAAATACGGAACAATCCCAAAGTTACAGCTCCATAAAATTCACTGCATTTATCCTAGGCGTTATCAGATTGGTTTTACCCTTATGTGCTACAGCTAGTTAGTTACAAAATACCAAATGAAAAAGTTGACTTGTATTTTCCCCAGCATCTCCTTTTGCATCCATAATTACTGCTTTTCTTAGCCTTCCCATTAATTTGTCCTCAATAATGAAATGTCTTTGCCCACTTAATTTGAGTCTGTTATTGTTTGCTAAGACCAGATACTACTTTCTTAGAATTTTTGAATACTCTCTTTTAAAAAGATTTTTAATCCTATAATCATTGAAAACATTCCTTTTCTACCTATTTTTCATATTTAAAAAAGTTGGCAATATTGACAACTCATCTCTCATGAAATCTTAAACATACATACTAGGGCTGGGACTAGGGGCTGATACCACCTGTTTTAATATTATGAGAACACTGGGTGCTTTAATGGCATGGGATTTATGACACCATAAAGATTGTGTTACTTCCCGAGATGACAAGAATGAATTGGAAGAAGTTCCTGACCTTCCGTTGCCCTCTGCAACATGATCTTCTTGGAGGAGTTCAACAGTTCGCTGTTTGAAATGCTCTGTTGATTCAGGAATTTAAATTTTGTAATAAGAGCTCCCAAGATGGCTATGCCATAAGTGAGAACAAAAATTAGAGGCTATAAAGATAGACTGGAATCTGAATTACTGTTTTCATTTGTTTTCCTGGAACTTATAAAACTTTACTGTGCAGTGCCACAGTGAAACACCAAAAGGAACACTTTAACCCAAATGATAAGCTTTCCAGTTCCCGTGGGCCATGTGTTGTTTAACAAAATAAAGCAAAAAAAAAAAAAAAACAAAAAACAAAACAAAACACACAGAAAAATCTGCTACGCACTTTACTGGCAACTTAGCTTTTTTTCCCCTCATAACCCATAGAATTAGCAGGAGGAGCATAGACATTAAGAGTAAGTGCACATGAAATATTGAAAAAGAGTAAACATGAATCCTCTCTTTGCAAAAGACAGTCTCAGAAATTTTTCATCTGCCAATTCACTTAATTCAACAAATTACATCTATCATGTTTCAAGTGCTTTGTTTATCGATATAGTGGTAAACAAAATACACTGATTTCATGGACCATTAGGTAATATTTGTGAGAGAATGCAAATTGTATCAGTAAGTATTTATATAGATATCTTTTACCTATGTATCTTACCTACTTAACTGTATGAGGTATATTTTCACAAATATTTATCAATTAGATCTTCTATGTCGTTTATGAATAATTCTCTCAATTATCTTGAAAGGTGTTCTGCTTATTTTTTTAGCTAATATACTTGTTTGTTTTTGAATTGATGTACAACATTAATTAACCAGGTTGCTGTCAAATAAGCGTTTTAGTTGGGAAATTGCTCGTTTGATTACCACCATTATTCAGTCTCCATAATTTTGCTTTTGCTATTAGTTGCTTGAAATTATCTTCCACAGATGATTACCATAATAATTGCTTCCTATTATTGAATATTACCATTATTCTAAATTTTGATTATTGCTGCTATGAACCACTTTGGGATATATGTACAGGAGAAAGCCTTAGCAATACTTTTTTTTTTTTTTTTTTTTTTGAGATGGAGTTTCGTTCTTGTTGCCCGGGCTGGAGTGCAATGGTGCGATCTTGGCTCACTGCAACCTCCGCCTCCCAGGTTCCAGTGATTCTCCTGTCTCAGCCTCCTGGGTAGCTGGCATGTGCCACCATGCCTGGCTAATTTTGTATTTTTAGTAGAGATGGGGTTTCACCGTGTTGGCCAGGCTGCTCTCAAACTCCCAACCTCAGGTAATCCACCTGCCTCTGCCTCCCAAAGTGCTGGGATTATAGGCGTGAGCCACTGCGCCTGGCCTAAAATATTTTAATGTCTTAAAATTGCATGTCGGTAAAACTCTCGTAATATTTTTCAGAGACAGATTTAAATATTATTTTCAAAAGATGTATACATCTTTTAGATATTAATTCCACATGCTTCAACACATCACACCATTTTTACAAAGCGCTGGTGATGAGCAAGTTGCACTTCCATAACTTAGAGTTACCAAAATGGAAGTTAGCAACTATTGCCCATTCTACTTTTTGAAATATGTTAATAAATTATGTAACTATTTCATTAGGTCATGAAATATATTCATTAGAATAACATATATATATATATACACACACACATGAAACCACCTTTTTTATTGTTCTGCCACAAGATTCAGAGATATTTGTAATTAGATTTATTTTGTGTGTATGTGGGTGAGACACTTGTCACAAACCATAGGTTCCCCATCCAGGTAGAGTCCATGGCCTTACTCATCTCAAAAATCACTGTCACTGAGCAAGACTCCAATATTCCTTGAAGCTTCATAGCAGTATTCCTGACACATTTGGGTATAACCAAGGAACTTTATTAAATAATGATATACAAAAAACTATTTCATCATCATCATTTTAGCTCCTAGACTATATCTTTAATTATATACATAAGCAACACATATTGAAGAAACTTGATCTACTTGAAATAAATGTATTTCCTTGTCCAGGCATTGTAAGATATATAAGATTACTTTCAGAGTTGCCAACAGCAATTCAAGACACGGTTTATTGAAGTTACTTCCTCTAACCTTAAGAATTCCAAGTCAATAGCAATTTTATCCCTTCAAGATAATAATTTTTATTAGTAATTTTGCTATTGTTCTAAAGATAGCTCTCTTTATATTGCAGTGAAAGTTACTCTGATTTATTCTTTTGTACTTCTTTGGGTGTTCTGTATGAGATGTTCTAAACCAAAATACTTAGAATTTCTGCTTCAAATACATGATAGCTCCTTCTTTCCCTTCCCTTCCTCCCTCCTTCCCTTCCCTTCACTTCCCTTGCCTCCCCTTCCCCTTCTCCTTCCTTCCTTCATTCATTCCTTCCTTCCTTTCTCCCTCCCTCCCTTCCTCCCTTCCTTCCTTTCATCTCTCTGTTCTGTCTTACATCATCTCACTCCCTTCTCTCTCTCTCTCTCTGTCTCTCTCTCTCTCTCTCTCTCTCTTTGAAATATGCAATACTTTAACAACTTACTGGTTTTGACTGTTAGGTTTCTATTTACATTTAGCAATTACCAATATATTTAGTGAAACAAATATATGCTTTGGATCATATAAATAGAACCCTCGGTTATTCTTGTAGCTTTCCTGTTACTATTCATGTGATCTTGGACAAGTTTACGCAGTTTTTATTTAACCTTTTTCCAGTTTGCCCTGAGAATACTTGCCAGCAGTGCTCGTGGCTGCAGCATTTACCCCAAGTAAATTTTGACAAGAAATATCTTGCTTTCGTTATTGTTTTCGCATTACTCTAGTATATTGACTTTGGAAACAAAAGACATTCTACTTATAGCATTCTGTTTTTAGTAGTGGTATTTCTATTTACAAAATATAGCCATTCTCTATCACAGAAAATATTAAATCCTAGATAACGTAGCACCCTACATGTGATGTTAGCATCGTTCTAGAACAGTTGTTGGCCAAAGATCCATTTGATGAATCCTATCTTTCTAAAATAGATGATTCTTATGATTCAGATAATTTTAATGTTAGTTCTGTTTATAAATAACTATAAGAACAGTTTTTATATTTTATTTTCACATTGATAATCAGTCAGATTTGCTTCAGCCTCAGAGTGTGTTGATGTAAAATTATACACGAGTTGAACTTTTTTTTCTAAACGGGAAAGTTAATCATGTGTAAAAAAGGCATAGTAATAATTGTTTCTTTGAGTTATGATGAAAATTAGCGTTTTTCAGATTATTTGTTTCATAAAGATACATAGTAGGTTCTCAGTAAATGTTAATTCCATTTATCTTGTATGATATAGATGATATCATAGTAAACAAGGTACAACCTTTGCTTATAGTTAATCATGAATAGGACATAACTACATAAGCAACATATATTAAACTCAAATCATGTGTAGTGAATGTTTCTTGCAATGTATCATGGACGTTCAGAGGAAGAAATGATTATTTTTGTCAAGGAGAAATAAGAAAGGCTCCATGGAGGAAGTTACTTTTGAGAAAGACTTCAAATAATAAGTAGGCTGGGGCTAAAAAGAAATAGTTAAAGTTGAGTTAGGGAAATTTTTGTTTGAGGTAGTGACAGCATCAATAAATTCTGAGAAATTATAATCATTAAAAAATACAGAAGGCAGTTCAGCTGCCATGGATCCTCTATAACATGTTGGAAAATAGTGGGAAATAACTTTAGAAAGTTAGTTTTAGGTAATGTTATAGAGAGCCTTGAAATTCAGTTTTTAAAATTTTCAAATTCCAATGTCTTAATTTTTTCTTTTATTTTTTCTCCAATATGAATATTCCTGAATGAGTCAATGAAGTCAGATTTTGCTGGGTCCTGCTGATAATGAAGGGTTAACTTTTCCAAACTAAACAATCTATTTCCACTTTCCAGTTAATAAACTTTTGAAGAAAATGTACAAAATAACAAATGTTTATATTTTAAATAAATTTTAGACAAGAAACAAAATGTTTATTTTTTAACATACCAATGTAATTATGGTTTTTGATACTTCCAGTTAATTTATGTAGCTCTTTTTTTTTTTCAGGCAGAACTATATTTCTTTGGCCAGAAGACTTCCTTTAAAGTATGTTATAGTTCAAGTGTATTAGCTAGGAATACTCTCAACTTTTTTTTTTCTTTTTTCTTGTTCTTTTTGTGGAAGGTTTCTTTATTTCATTGTAATTTCTTTTTCTTTCTCTCTTTCTTTTCTGTTTTTTTCTCCTTCTGTCCCTCCCTCCTTCCTCCTTTCTCCTTTCTCCTTTCATTCTTTCTTTCTCTTTCTTTCTTTTCTTTCTTTCATTCTTTCTTTCTTTCCTCTCTTCTTTCTTTTTTTCTGTCTTTCTTTTTCTCTTTCCATCCTTCCCTCCCTCCCTCCCTCCCTCCCTCCCTCCCTCCCTCCCTCCCTCCCTCCCTCCCTCCCTTCCTTCCTTCCTTCCTTCCTTCCTTCCTTCCTTCCTTCCTTCCTTCCTTCCTTCCTCCTCTCTTTTGACAGCGTCTCCCTCTTTCACCTCCACTGGAGTGTAGTGGTATAGCTACAGCTCACTGCAGCCTTGACTTCCTGGCCTCAAGCCTTCCTCTTACCTCAGCCTCTAGAGCAGGTAAGACTACAGGTAAGCACTACCACACCTGGCTAATTTTTAAATTTTTGTAGAGATGGTGTCCCACTGTGTTGCCAGGCTGGTCTCCAACTCCTGGGCTCAAGTGATCCTCCATCTCAGCTTCCCAAAGTGCTAGGATTACAGGTGTGAATGATCATGCCTGGTCTGATTTTCATTTAAGCGTATATCTTTTTTAGGTATAGAATTCTAATTTGACAGATTACCTTTTGGCAGCATTTAAAAAATTCTTTTTTTTCTGGTTTGTACTGTTTCTGAAGTTGATAGAATTCTAATTCTTGTTCATCTAAATAAATATAAAATTTTCTGGCAGTCATTTTTTCAATTTTTTTTTATCTTCCTCCTCTCCAACTATATGTATTTTAAACTGCTTGATATTGTCCTACATGCCACCTAAGCTCCATTGATTTGTTAAAGTCTTTTTTCTCTAAGTTTTGGTTTGGGTAGTGTTTTATTTTCTCCCTATTGTCTAATCTGATGTTAAATCTATCTTGTAAATTTTTTTGTATATTACATTTTTCATCTTTAGAAGTTCCATTTGCATCTTTTTAAATATCTTTTGCTTCTGTTCTCATGTGCATTTTTTTCTTTACATTATTAAGCATTTTTTTAATCATTAAAAAATTCTTTTTTGTTACTTAAACCATCTTTGTCACTTCTGAGTTTGTTTCTATTGGTTGATTGTTCTGGCTACTGATCACATTTTCCTGTTTTTATTCTAGTAAGATTTTATTACTTGCTGGATATTGTAAACATTAAGTCATTTAATGTCTGGATTTTGTTTTTTTTTTTCTTGAAATATTTGGGATGTTTTGTTTTGTTTTAAGCTAATTGTGGATCAACTTACTTTTTTGAGAATTTTAACCTTTGTTAGGATACATATAGAATAGCTATAACTTCTAATGCTAATTTACTGCTAAGGTGTAATTTCTGGAGTTTCCAATGAATGCTTAGATGTTTATTAGAGTTTCTCCTCTCCAGCTGCTTAAAATTTGGGCATCTCTCCATCCTCTGAGAGCCTTGGGAGTATTCAGTTTACAGTTCCATGGTACGTTTTTGGTGTGCTTCATTGAGCTTAACCTTGAGCATACACAGGTTATTATTCTTCCAAAGACTCAAGGCAACCCCTATTCAAATTCCTGGAACTTTCTTCTCTGCATATTTCTCTCCTCTCCATTTCTGTGCTTTACACAATAGCTGCCTCAGCCTCCTCACAAAATTGATTCGGTATATCCTAAATTTAGTGATACAATTATGCTCTGCTTGGATTCCCTTTGCATGCCTTGTGTTCTAGAATGTGGCTTTAGACAGAAAGACCGCATGAATATCATGGTTTCCTCATGTGTTTCCTCTTTTCTCCAGAATGTTTGAAGCATTGTTTCATATTTTATCCGGGTTAGTTGTTAATAGCAAAGATGCAGTTTCCCTATCACAGCCAAAGTGCAAAATAATTATTTTCTTTTTAAAAATTAAATTGTTTTCCATACTGTTGTTTTTATTTATGTGGCTGCACTAAAAAAGGTGAAGCTATTTGGAAGTATTTTTCTTTGGAAGGTGTTTTTCATTTTGAAGCAGGTCAAACCCAAGTCTATACTATTATTTTGGCATAAAATGTTTCAGAATGAAGACATAATTTGTTCTCTTCAATGCTATTTATGAGAATACTGTTGTACCCATTGAAACTGTTCCCCTGACTAAGGATACTATTTATATGAAAGTCACTATCTCAAAACTAAGAATGGAAGAATGGAGGATGTTGGTTAACAATACTGGAAAATTAGAACTACTTATATTATTTCATATTTATCCACACAATATCCACTAAATAGCTGTATTTTCAGTACCAGATTTCAAAGATTTATTTTAACTGAAAATGCTTTTTTTCTTAAGGAGTTTTGGAATTGATTTAAAAATCTTTGTTTGTCCATAGAAGATACCCTGCAACAATAGGTGAAGAAAAGAAAAATTCATCTTTCTTGGTAGACTGAAGTTAGTCATTTATTGGCATACTTTTTTTAGAAAGGATATACAATTTTTGAAACTTAATTGAAATATGTAATAAGATTATGATAATTTGAAAAGGTGAAGAAAACTGGTAATTTTAAAAAATAGCTAATAAAAATTAGCTTAGAGTTTTTTTTTCAATTTGCACAAACTAAAAAGATCTTCTAAATGAAGCTATACAAATTAACATAAATTCTTATCCAAGGGTGAAAATTTAATCTACTAGTTAAACACAGATTCTTATGTCACACTGTCTAGGGTAAAACCTAAAGGTCTTTATCAAAAAAGACTTTTCTTTCCGGTTGAGATTTAATTTATACTAGACTCTTTAGTGTCACTGTAATCAAACATCTGAAAAGAGTCTCTTGCTTGGCCTAAACAGTTAACATAGAAAGATTTTTCTAAATTAGTGAGTATAGAGAAATAAATTCGTCTTCCAAATAATGAGAGTCCTTTCCTACTTGCCGTCTTACAAAGTAGATCTAAATAATGCAGAACATTTTCATTTAGAATCTCAAGATTATGAAATCGTTACTCATTATGAAACAAAGAATGATTTAGTGTCCAATCTTTTGGGGATAAAATTTTGTGAAATAAAAACTGTGCTAGGACTATAAAATTAAGGCTGTTAAACTTTAAAGAAAAGCATTACGTAATATAACATGGTTTTCTATGTTACAGTTTTAGGTTTGTTGGGAAAGAAAATAAAACAGATTATTAAAAAATCTGAGACTCCTATTGGATGCTTGGTACTTAGATGTTGAAGAAATTGCGTTTTACATTCCTGTGTTATTTCACTGTATCATTTTTGTTTTTGCAAGAATATTTGGTAGGTGAGCCTGAGTTAAGAGCTATTGCTGTAGGCTTCAGCACAGCTATAATTTATAAGATACTTGCCAAGCTTCGTGTCTGTGGCCTGGATCTGTCATAAAACGAGTGCATGACAAAACCTGACTACTTCTGACATGTCCAGCATACATTTTAAGCAAACAACTTTACTCAGTTTGCTCTGAATAGGGACCAACCAAGCCATCCTAAAATAACATAAGGGAACATTTGCATTGTAAGGAGAGGGAATGGGCTGAAGAACCTGGGCCCTTATTCAGGTGTATTTAGGATTTGTCTTAGAAGAATTCCTATTACACAAAGGTCCCTTTCAAAAATACACATTTCATTAGCTTCTTGATTCTATTAACTAGCCCAGAATTCAGTGTAGAATTCTGCAAAATCATAGTATTATGGAGTTAGCAAAAATCATGTTTTCACCATGAAATGAGAGTCCTGGGATCACCATCAGATGATTATTGTATTTACGGATTATTTGAAGGTGACATAACTTTTGTTTGGAACCCTGATCAAAGATGATCATATCCCGTATCCATAAACTAATTCTTACACCACTTGAACTTCGATACTCCTTAGTACTGAAAGGATTTAGGCTTTTCTTCATTCATTCAGTATTTACTAAAAATCACTGAAGCATTTAGCAGACAATGGTTGGTGCTGGAATTATAAAACAAAGAAGAAATAATCCCTCTCCTCAAGAAGCTTACTGTTGGATAGAAAGGGGCAGAATATATATTTTTTAATTTGTCTGTAGATTAAGTACAACTAATTATGTGTAATTTCTTAAAGTATTAATCACCCTTGTTTGTTCTAAGATCAATGTTCTCATTTTTAGTATTTCAAAAACTCCATAATACTATGATTTTTGCTAGTTCCTCTAGGTGTGATGTTAGGTTGTAAATGTGAGATATCTTCCTTACTCTCATCAACTCCAACCCCTCAAAAAAGTGTCTCAGTCACATCTGTTCTCAGGGAAATTTGTTCCCTTCATTCTTCAGTCTCATCACAGAACATACCACTCATTCTTGTTATTCAGAAAATGTGCTTGTTCCCCAAATACGTCGTTACAACTATAGGCCATCAAGTTGAGGTTGCTTACTCTACTAGCACCCACTTAATATAAAACAGCAGATAAGATGGTATTCTCAACACTATACTAAAAATTGATCACTCTTTTATGCCATCAATGTGTAATGAATTTTTATTCTAATTGGCTCCCTTGAGGGATTATCTTTTTTTTTTTTTTTTTAGTTTTTTTTTTCTTTCCAACTTTTATATTAAGTTCAGGGGTAAAGGTACAGGTTTGTTAAATGGGTAAATTGTGTGTCTTGGGGGTTTGATGTACAGATTATTTCATCAACCAGTTAGTAAATATAGGACCCAACAGATAGTTTTTCAATCCTCAACCTCCTCCCACTCTCCACCCTCAGATAGGCCCTGGTGTCTATTTTTCCCATGTTCGTGACTATGTGTACTCAATGTTTGGCTCTACTATAAGAGAGAACATAGAATATTTTGTTTTCTGATTCTGCATTAATTCACTTATGATAATGACCTCCAGCTCCATTGATGTTGCCACAAAGGACATGATTTTACTCTTTTTTAATGGCATTGTATTCCATGGTATATATGAACCGCATTTTCATTATCCTGCCCACCACTGATAGGTATTTAGGTTTGATTCCATGTCTTTGCTATTGTTAATAGAGCTGCAGTGAACATATGCATGCATGTGTCTTTACAACAGAAGGATTTATTTTCCTTTGGATATACACCCAGTAATGGGATTGCTGGGTCGAATGGTAGTTCTGTTTTAGGTTATTTGAGACATCTCCAAACTGCATTCCACAGTGGCTGAACTAATTTATAATCCCACCAGTAGCATATAAGTGTTCTCTTTTCTCTGCAACCTTGTCAGCATCTGTCATTTTTTGACTTTTTAACAATAGCCATTCTAACTGATGTGAGATGGTACCTCATTGTGGTGCTGATATGCAATGACTAGTGATGTTGAGCATTTTCTCATATGCTTGTTGGCTGCATGTATGTCTTCTTTTGAAAAGTGTTTGCTTAATGAGGTTGTTTGTTTCTTTCTTCTTAATTTGTCTAACTTCCTTATAGATTCTGGCTATTAGATCTTTGTTGGATGCATAGTTTGCAAATATTTTCTTCCATTCTATAGGTTGTCTGTTTACTCTGTTGATAGTTTCTTTTGCTGCGTTGAAGCTCTTTAGGTCCCATTTGTCAATTTTTGTTTCTCTACAATTGCTTCTGGTGTCTTTTTCATGAAATCTGTGCCAGGAACTATGTCCAGAATGGTATTTCCTAGGTTTTCTTCTAGGGTTTTATAGTTTCAAGCTTTACATTTATGTCTTTAATCCTTCATGAGTTGCTTTTGTATATGGTGTAAGGAAGGTGTCCAGTTTCAATCTTCTGCATATGACTAACCAGCTATCTCAGCATCATTTATTGAATAGAGAATCCTTCCTCTTTTGCTTGTTTTTGTTAGCTTTCTTGAAGATCAGATGGTTGTAGATGTGTGGCCTTATTTCTGGGCTCTCTCTTTTGTTCCATTGGTCTATGTGTCTGTTTTTGTACCACTACCATGCTGTTTTGATTACTGTAACCTCATAGTATAGTTTGAAGTCAGATAATGTGATGCCTCTAGCTTTGTTCTTTCTACTTAGGATTGCATTCGCTATTTGGGTTATTTTTGCTTCCATATGAATTTTAGAATTTTTTAAATATTCCTGTGAAAAATGTCATTGGTAGTTTGTTAGGACTAGATTGAGTCTGTTAACTGCTTTAGACAGTATGGCCATTTAACAATATTAATTCATCCTTTCCATAAGCATGCAATATTTTTCCATTTATTTGTGTCATCTTTGATTTATTTCAGCAGCATTTTGTAATTTTCATTGTAGAGAGCTTTCACCTCCATGGTTAGCTGTATTCCTAGATATTTTGTTTGTATGTGGCTACTGTGAATAGGATTGTATTCTTGATTTGGCTTTTAGCTTGGACATTGTTGGTGTATAGAAATGTTACTAATTTTTGTACATTAATTTTGTATCCTGAAACTTTGCTAAAATTGTTTATCAGATTTAGAAGCTTTCGAGCAGCAACTATGAGGTTTTCTAGGTATAAAATCATGTGTCTACAAAGGCAGATAATTTGACTTCCTCTCTTCCTATTTAGATATCTTTTATTTCTTTCTCTTGCCTGATTTATGTGGCTAGGATTTCCAGTACTATGATGAAAGGGAATGGTGAGAGTGGGCATCCTTATCTTATTCCAGTTCTCAAGGAGACTGCATCCCACTTTTTCCTGTTCAGTATGATGTTGGCTGTGGGTTTGTCATAGATGGTTATTATTTTGATGTATGTGATTCAATTCCCAGTTGTCGAAGGTTTGTTGCATGAAGGAATGTTGAATTTTATTGAAAGCCTTTTCTGCATGTATGGAGATGATCATGTGTTTTTCGTTCTTAGTTCTGTTTATGTGATGAATCACATTTTTTGATTTATGTGTGTTAAACTAGTCTTACATCAAGGGGTAAAGCCTACTTGATCTTAGTGAATTCTCTTTTTGGTGTTCTGCTGGATTTGGTTTGCCAGTATTTTGTTGAGGAGTTTTGCATCTATGTTCATCCTGTATATTGGCCTGAAGTTTTATTTTTTGTTGTTGTGTATCTGTCAAGTTTTTGTATCAGAATAATGCTGGCCTCATAAAATGAGTTAGGGAGGAGTCACATCTCCTCAATTTTTTTGGAGTAGTATCAGTAAGATTGATATCAGCTCTTTTTTATATATTTGGTAGAATTTGGCTTTGAATCCATCTGGTCCAGGGCTTTTTTTTTGTTGGTAGGCTTTTTATAATTGGTTCCATTTCAGAACTCATTTTTGGTCTGTTCAGGGTTTCAATTTTTTCCTGGTTCAATCTTGGGAGATTGTATGTTTGCAAGACTTTATTCATTTCCTCTAGGTTTTCCAGTTCATGTGCATAGAGGTGTTCATGATAGTCTCTGAGAGATTTTTGTGTTTCTGTGGGGTTGATGGTAATGTCCCATTTGTCTTTTCTGGTTATGTTTATTTGGATCTTCTCTTTTTCCTTCATTATTCTAGCTAATGGTTTATCCATCTAATTTATTTTTTCAAAGAACCAAGTTTTGGGTTTGTTGATTTTTGTATGGTTATTCACATCTCAGATTCATTTATTTCAGCTCTCATTTTGGTTGTTTCTTTTCTTCTTCTAGTTTTGGAGTTGGTTTGCTCTTGTTTTTTCTAGTTCCTCTAGGTGTGATGTTAGGTTGTAAATGTGAGATATTTCTAACTTTTTGATATGGGTGTTTTATTACTATAAACTGTCCTCTTATCACTGCTTTAGCTTTGTTCCAGACATTCTGATGTGTTGTATCTTTGTTCTCATCAGTTTCAAAAAAGTTATTAACAATTGACTTAATTTCATTGTTTACCCAAAAGTCATTCAGGATCAGGTTGTTTAATTTCCATGTAATTTTGGGGTTTTAGAAATCTTCTCTGTATTAATTTTATTTTTACTGTGCTGTGGTCTGAAAGTGTGGTTGGTATTTTTTTTTAATTTGTTGTAAATTGTTGTATGTTTGAGCATGTGATCTATTTTAGAGTATGTGCCATGTACAGATGAGAAGAACGTATATTGTGTTGTTTTTGGGTGGACTGTTCTGTAGACATCTGTTAGGTGCATTTGATCAAGGGTTGAGTTTAGGTTCCAAGTGTGTTTGTTAGTTTTCTGCCTCAGTGTTCTGTATAATACTGCCAGCAGGGTATTAAATACTCCTACTATTATTTTGAGGTTATCAAAGTCTTTTTGTAGGTCTCTAGGAACTTGTTTAATTAATCTGGGTGCTCCAGCATTAAATTCATATGTATTTAAGATACTTAAGTCTATTTAATTTAACCCTTTAACGTTGTGTATTGTCCTTCTTTGTCTTTCCCGATTATCATTGGTTCGTTGGTCTAAAGTTTATTTTTTTCTGAAATTAGAATAGCATTCCCTGCTCTTTTTTTTCCTTGATAGATTTTTCTCCGTCCCTTTACTTTGAGCTTATGAGTGTCATTGCATGTGAGATGAGTCTCTTGAAGACAGCGTACAGTCAGGTCTTGCTTCTTTATTCATCTACCACTCTGTGCCTTTTAAGTGGAGTTTAGCCCATTTACATTTAAGATTAATATTGCTATGTGTGGGTTTGATCCTGTTACCATGTTGTTAGCTGATTGTTATGCAGATTTATTGTGTAGTTGCTTTATAGTCTCATTGTCTATGTACTTAAGTGTGTTTTGTGGTGGTCAGTAGCATTCTTTAGTTTCCATGTTTAGCACTCCATTCAGGACCTCTTCCAAGGCAGATCTGGTAGTAATGAATTAAGTTAGCATTTGCTATTCTGAAAAGCATTTTATTTCTCCTTTATTTATGAATCTTGGTTTGACCAGATATGAAATTCTTGGTTAGCATTTTTTTTTTTCTGTAAGAATACTCAGTATAGGCCCCCAATCTTTTCTGGCTTGTAGCATTTCTGCTGAAAAGTCTGCCATTAGCCTTATGGAGTTCCCTTTATAGGCGGCCTGCCCTTCCTCTCTAGCTGCCTTTAATATTTTTTCTTTCATGTTGACCTTGGAGAATCTGTTGACTATGTATCTTGGGGATGGTCATCTGGTATAGTGTCTCACAGGGGTCTCTGGATTTCCTGAATTTTGATATCAATTTCTCCAGTGAGTTTGGAGATATTTTTGTGGACAATATCCTCAAATATGATAGCAGCTTCAAAGATTAAACTAACATCAGCCCATCTTGACGAGAAAGAACCAGTGCAAGAACACTGGCAGCTCAAAAAGCCAGTGTCTTCTTACCTACAAATGACCACACTAAGTATCCAGCAATGGTTCTTAACCAGGCTGAAATGGTTGAAAAGATAGACATAGATAGAATAGAATATCCAGAATATTCTATTCTGGATAGAATTTTGATGATCTTCTTCAAGATTCAGGAAAAAGTTGAAACCCAAACTAAGGAGTCTAAGGAATCCAGTAAAATAATACAAAAGTTGGAAAACAAAAAAGCCACTTTAAGAAAGAACCAAACTGATATGATAGAGCTGAAAACTTACTTTGAGAATTTTCTAGTACAATTGGAACTATTAATAGCAGAATAGGTCAAAATGAAGAAAGAATATCAGAACTTGAAGACTGGTTCTTCGAAACAACTCAGTCAGACTAAAATGAAAAAAGACAACATCCTCAAATACGTTTTTCAAGTTGCTTGATCTCTCTCCCACTCTTTCATGAATGCCATTGTGCCATAGGTTTGGTCTCTTTACATAAGAATCCCATAGTTTTTTAGGTTTTGTTCATTATTTTTTTATTCATTTCTTGTTAAAGCATTCAGACTAGTCTTGTTTCTTTAGCTTTATCTATTATTTTGTCCACTGGATCTGCTACTTCATCAAGGCTTCTACTCATTTTACCCTATTTTCTAACAATTTATCAAGAAGTTACTGATCATTTGCTTACTCAACCTTAAGTAGCTCTCTATTAAGCTTAAAAAAAATTCCAACTTCTTATTTGGCTTATAGGATTCTGCATGATCCAGTTACTTCTTAGCTTCTGATTTTATTTCCCTCCAATCACAGCTTCATACTCTAGCTTCATTGATTGTTTTCCCAATCCTCCAGGACAGTAAATTCATTCCTATATCACAACCTTTTATAACTGCTTTTGCATTAGGCTTAAAGACCCTCCAGACACCATGACTTTCCTTTTATCACTGAGGTCTTAACTTCAATGCTACCTCATCAGGCCCATGTAAGTAAACAAGCTTTTCCCTCTAAACTTCCTTATAATTCTCTGTCATATTGCTCTTGTTTTTTCAAATAATTAGTATCTAAAAAATGTATGATACATTAACATATATATTTAATATCTTTCTCCTTCCTCCTTGGGACAAAGACTTTTTCTGTTTACTTTATTTCTTTTCTTTCCTTTTTTGTTTTTTTTAGGTGGAGTCTTGCTCTGTCACCAGGTTGGAGTGCAGTGGTGCAATCTCGGCTCACTGCAAACTCCACATCCAGGGTTCAAGCAATTCCCCTGCCTTAGCCTCCCAAGTAGCTGGGACTACAGGCACATGCCACCATGCCCAGCTAATTTTTTGTATTTTAGTAGAGATGGGGTCTCACCATGTTGGCCAGGTTGGTCTCAAACTGCTGGCCTCAAGTGATCCACCCACCTTGACCTCCCAAAGTGCTGGGATTATAGGCATGAGCCACTGTGCCTGGCCTTTTTACTTCATTTCTATATACTCAGTGCCTTGAAGACCTTCAGTAAAGGTCCATTAACTGATTGACAGATACATATGTTCTCAGAGGACATCAACCTTGTATTCTCAAATACCCTCTAATGTTTCTAGCAGAAGTAGACAATGACAAATATTGGTTGAAATAATAAAGTTTTAAATATTAAATACAAATGGTAAATAAACATAAAAATGTTTAAACTTTATAAAATATAGGTTAAAACAACATTGAATTATAATACTGTTACATATTAAAATGGCCAAATTAATTAAAACACTAATATCCTAGACCAATCCACAGTTTTGAGGAAAAAACTCAAATTGCTAGTTGGATGTATTCTATTTCCAGGAATTTTCCTAAGTACTTACATATTTATTCTTAAATATTCATCATAACATCATTTGAAATAGCAAATAATTGGAAAAAATCTTTGTGTCAAGAGCAGACAATTGGTTAATATATTTCTAAGATGTAATAATATAATTTCAAATGGCAGAAGTATATAACATTAAGTGTTTTCTCTTGTCCAGAAGTGAGAGACAGATCTTCTTTATCCTATTCAATATGCTCTATTCGATGAGATCTAATTTTTAGTTCAAATGAAAATCCTACCTCATCACACTGAGAAAGCTTTTGCTAAGATCCTGGTAACCTGTGGTTCTGTGTTAGGAGGGACAGAAAAAGATGCTATAAATTCTCATAACCTAAAAAGTAGGATAAGGGAGCTTTAAAGATTGTTTGACATAATGAAACGTTTAAATTATAACAACCAAACCATACTCAAAAATATAATGTGTCTAATATGTGATTTTGAGCAATGACATATTTAATATGTACTATTATAGGATAAAGGTGAGTATATAGTGTGAAAAGAAGAGAATGAAACTAAATTAAGATCTATTGTCCTCACACGATATAACTAGCAATTCTATTGATTACTAGTCCACAGTATTCTATCCAGCTGTGTTTTTCTTTCTTTATGTCGTCTAATTGTGAGAGTCATGTTTCTAAAGAAGTTTCTGCAGACTTAGCTAAGCATTTACTTTTTAAAAGGGAGTCTTAACTTATCACAGAGGTAACCCTTGGTATGCAAGTATCTAAAGACAAAAACTTTGCTCAAAAATCCTTGGGGATTTTGTAGATAACTTTTAAAACTATAAATCTGAGAAGCCATTTAATTTAGATAAGAAATATTTTCAACTGTGCTCCTAGAACAGGAGTTGTCTAATTAAGGCTTGTGGACCAAATCCATCCTGTTTATAACCTGCTTTTGTAAGTAAGGCTTTATTGTAACGTTGCTATATCCATTCATCTGTGTGTTTTCTACAACTGGTTATGGCTGAGTTCAGTAGTTGCAACAGAGCCCATATAGCTCACAGAGCCTAAAATATTTACCATCTGGCCCTTTAAAGAAAAAACATTGTAGATATTTTAGCCTAGAACATTCTTTTTATATACATTTCAAATTAATTTAACAAAAGTATTGTTTAGGATTTTTTCCATCGTGGATTATTATTAATTATTTGGTACTATAAAATAATATATACTAAAGTTTTATTAGAAAAACTTCTCTCTTGTAAGTAGAAAAATAAAAATAAAATTTCTTTCCGAGAAAGTTATGTTCAGCCCCATTCAGACAATAAGTATTTTTAAAAAACCACAACTCACATATCCACCCCCACACATGCGTATGTACATACAAATACACACGTAGCCAAATTTCAGCAAAGTAAATACTCTGCAAGTTTCTGAGGAAGTTTGTAATAACAAGAATTACCATTTTCTTATATTCTAGAGATAAAAGATGGTTCATATTCCTCAGAAACCTCAGGTTAATCCATGATAGAGCCATGCTAACTTGAAAACTGAAAGATTAAAGGAAGAGCTAGTAGGAATTCATCACATCAACTTCCACAATATAACATTGCTTCATATTCCCCTTAATAAGTAACCAAATGGTTTTCGTCATTTCCAGGAACAGAAAACTAAGCTACCTAATAGAACACTTATTTGCTTTTTCGGTGTGTGGCAACCAGTTAACACTGTTTGCTCTTATTAATTTAATTTTTAACTGACAAACTCTTGTTAAGCAATCCTTTTTATTAAGTTCTTAGGTGTATGTTTAAAAAGTATTTTATTTAAGTTCTTAGGCTAATGTCTCAGGCTTAATATGAATTCTTTATGCATATTATCACTTCAAATTTTCAAAACAATTTTATACAATTGATTCCTATTTTACTGATAAGAAACCAACACATTGTACGTAATAAAATTATTTACCTTTTCTTTTTCCCATATAATCTTTCTATCTGGTAAATGTATAAAAGCATTTCTTTTAATCTTTTTCCTTTCCAAATCCTAATTACCCTTTAGGACTCAGAGTTCAAATCTCTGCAATCTTGCAAAATCATGTTATGCTACATTAATCCTTCCCTTGTTTGAACTCCTAGAGACCTATAATCTATACCAGATAGTTCAGCACTGAGTAACAAACTATTCTACATTTTCTAATTGCTTTACATATACTGATCTAGTTTTTCCAACAACATAACTAACATTTTACTTAGTTATACCTCATTCATCTCATTATTGTCTCTAAATTATCTTATAATTTGATGGAATGATTGTCTGCATTTTAAGAACATAGGTATCAAATGGTTTCAGCTACCAAGTGGAGAGCGGCCCACAATTCAATCCACCTTTGTTACAACACCAATGTTTATACATTTTTAATCTTAAATTTTTTTTGTTGTTCATTCAGATGTGTGGTTTCCCTCTTGCTTTTCAGAAATCAATTTCAAGCCACATCATTTTTCTTCTTGATGTCTAGAAGGGAGTTAATGGTTGAATTCTGTTTTACATAGCCAAGGAAACCAAACTGTTTGTATTATCAATAAAAGACACTTTTCTTATATTATTAAATGGAGCTGGCACTTAGTAATCATAGTTTTAGGTTTGTTAGGTATCATGGTCACATGAAATATTTCATAAACTTTTCTTTCCATTCTAATTTGTTATTGTTTTTCAAAGGTGTAAATTAATCCTTTGATTAGGATTATAGATATTTCTTTATACATATAAATTTTCAGTTATAGTAGTTTTGGCAACATTTGGATAGTTTATCTAAAGGTAAGTAGACAGCAGATTAAGGCATTTTTCACTTATGAAAACTAACAGTGACAGATTTAAGTAAGTTCCTTTGGACCTAATAGAAAAGCTCCTAGCTACAATTGACCTAGTTTCTGAAAATCTGGATTCAAATAGAAAATACTGCCATAACATCCTTTGATTATATGCAATTCTATTTGTATTTTAGGCTCATGATCATATTTCGGTAATTGGAACACAGCCATTCCAAGGCTTTTAGCAGTTTCTTGTACATTAATCATCTTGTTCCTGGTAGGTGAACTATGTTTTAGTTAAATAAAAGGATAATTTTTAGTGTAACTTATTTTAGATATTTATAAGGCAGGAACTATGTTTACATTTTATATTTTGTCCAGCACTTAGTGCGTTGTGATTTTTGTATAGAATTACAGCCACTGCATGCCCAACAATGGAAGGGATTCCTTCTTAATATTCCTAACATATTGTCAGCTGGCCTCTGTTTAGATATGTCTAGGTTCAACCTCTTTTTGCCCTTTAAGAGAGAAATTTATTTTATACCTAAACTTTTAAAATATAAATTAACATGGTTACATTAGAGTACCTATTGTTAATAGGAACAAGCATTGAACTGAACATATACTAAAAACGCAAAATCTCTATATTATTAGTCTACTGTCACTATTACCCTTTGATTTGTTTGATCAATTAATTATTGAGTACTTACTATGTGCAAACTACTACGATAAGTGCTATAGAATGTAAAACAAAAGTGAATTGAATAGAAGTCTTATTCTTTAAATGGTAATAATGTGGTATAAAAATGTTTGTACTCACTTATGATCAAACATTGCTATAACACAAGGAAGACTGCCATAAATGAGAAGAGAACTGTGTGTAGGACAAAGTAGCGCATTAGGCCTAACTAATTATTACTACTTGAGTATTTTCCTAAGTTGCTTCTCTGTCCGCTGTTAAATGATGGTAGACTTGCTAGGTTCTCAGTTTCCCAAAATAAACCTATCCATCACCACTCCACACTTCCCAGAAATGGAGCACAAAATATTCTATTTCTGTTATGCTACTGGCATTGACAGAATAGAATTTTACTTTCATTTTTTCTCCTCCCCTAAAACACATATATGCATATCTAAACTATACACATTAACCATAATTATCTTAATTTAGGAAAGGGAAATTTGACTGCTCACTGTTGAATATGTTTCAGGTACTGTGTTAGGCAATTTACCTGTCTTATTTCATTTGATTGTCAAAACATCTCTGTGAGGTACATTTATTACAACTGACAAAAATGGATCAGAGAAGAAGTGAATTGCTCAGTTAGTAAATTTTTTTTTCACAGCACGTTAGTAAGGAGTAGAACCACTATTATGTATGTTATTTGTTTCCTTATTATATAAGCACAGTAGGTAGTACAGAGTAGGTCTTTAATTTAAAAAAATAATAAAAATATTCATTAAATAAGGACTTCATGCTAATAGTGACACAGGGAGAAAGGAGAGGAAAGATGCAGGAGATAAGGTGTGGCAGATGGAAAACATGCAATTTTATATCCCTCCCAGTAGTTCATGTCATCTCTCTTCATATCTGAGTGTGTTCTGTGACTACTTTGACTAACAGGATAAAGTAGACATTAAACCTCATGCATTTCTGCACTCAGACCTTAAGAATCTGCTAGATTTTACTTCTTGTCTCTTGAAGTGTTCTCTTTAGGAGAAGCGGAACACCACATCAGCAGTCTGACCACCCTGAGACTTCCATGCTATGAGGAAATCCAAAATAGCCATTTAAAATGTGAAGACAGTATATTTTTTAAAGAAAGCAATACTGGCTAACTGTCAGTTGTTTTGACATCCAAGTCTAGACACTAGCTATGAATGTGAAGAAGCCATTCTGGACATTCCAGACCCAGCAGATGCCACATGGAACAGTACTGAGGTCCAAAACACATGGTTTTCCACCATATCCTGACAATTGAACTACCCTGGCTGAAGCCCAGACATCATGGCACAAAGACAAGCTGTCATCACTGAACCCTGACAAAGTTCTTGACCCACAGAATTGTAAGCCTAATAAAAGTGGATTTTTAAAAAAATGTAACTAAGTTTTGAATTTTTTGTTACACAGCAATAACTAACCAGAACAGTGGGTTTTAAAGATAGGCTGGAACAAGATTAATCATCTCTCTCTCTTGCCTGCCCCCACCCCGACTCTGTGGATAATGAGAAACAAACATAAGGATATTGTCAATGTAAAATGGAAAAAGTGGAGGCGAAAAACTTCCCTATTCTTTTTCCCCTCTACTTAAAAAAGGAAGAAAAAGGCTGAATGTTAAGGAAGTAAGATATGCATTTTTTAACTTGTGACTGGCCAATGACTTCTGTTAGATTGTGAATATTAACTTCTTAGATGAGTATTTCTATAGAAAAAAATAGATAAATCACACCAGAAGAGTCTATTGAGAACAGCTAACCGTTATCTAGTCTGTTTTTCTAACAGTTTCTTCTTCAGTATCATGGTTGTGCCTATCTTACCCACTGTAGCATCTGAAGTTCTTGGTGTCCTTGTCTCTAGTGTGTCAGGGTAAAAGAGTTAGCTGGGGAACAAACCAAACATGAGAATAGAAAATATCTTTGTGGGTTTGGGTGAGAGCATGGAATAGGTGATTTAGAGTCAGACAAACTTGAATTCAAATCCCAATGGTGTGACCTTTGGGCAAATTTCTGATGTCAGTTTTCTTATCTGCCAAGGAAGGGTAACCTAAATTCACCAAGCTATTGTTAAGATTAAATAAGATGGCCTATGGAGAGGGCCCAGAACATAATACACAAGTTGCTTAATCACTGTTTTCTTATCCTTTAGGACTGAATAATGAAGCAACACAGAGTGGGCCTGGCTTTGTCTACTAAAGCGAGGAACTCGATGAAGATTCTAAAATGACTAGGGAAAAGATCTGCTCTGAGTCACTTAACCATGAAAATTGTTAAAGTTATGTAGATTGGCCTGAAGGACTGCAGAGCCATTTTCTGAGGTGATGCACAGCAGTTTTGATTAGTGAGCAGAAACTCAATGTAGACACATGGCTTTTCCACATGCATTTAAGTGTCAGTGTGCACAGCAGGATATTAGCAAGAGTTGTGTTTCCTCTTCTCCTCTTTTATAAATAAAATTGAATACCAGTAATTTCACTTAATATTTAAGTTATATAGTCTTGTCCCACATATTTACTGTTTTAAGCTTTTGCCCCCTTTCCTTGGCAAGTATTTTTACTAAATTATTATGAATAATTTTGGGATCTTAAAACATTTTTCTGTAGATATAAACAAGGTTGATAACTTCTGTTGCAGTTAGATCCATTTGGCTGCAAGGGACAGACACTCATATTATTTTAAATAATGGAAAATTACTTTAGTGATGAGTAAGGAAGGCAGGGATTCAAGAAATGTGAGAGATTTAAAGGGAGAGGGCCTTATGGAAACTGAAGCTTGACCCATAGCTGAGATCTTGGAAACAGGACTTTTCTTCCTTTCTTCTGCCTTTGACTTAGGAATTGTTTTTCCAATTCTGCTTCTCTTCCCCTAACGTAGTTGCTTCCCTATTACTCTTGACTGCTGCATCTTCAACATGGTATCTACAGGGAGAGTCTACTGCTATTACCTGTTTCCTTAGAACCTCACATTATGTGTATCTTCCATTCTACCTCTTTGCCTTTCTCAAGGCATTCTTTGGACTTCAGCCAAAACTGCCAACTCTTACTTTTTAAAGAACATTATTATGATTTACTTATCATATCGCTATTGCAGAGGTCAAACCTTTAAGGCTGGGCAGATGACTAGATAAGAGCCCAAGAAATGGCTGCCCTTCAGTCATGAGCTATAACATGGAGAAGTGGTTTGGGATAATTTCTCTTAAAAGGATCTGTAATTATAGCAGGTACCACAATTTGGCATATTTTACACAGTTTGAAATCTTCAGGGATATTCTTATCTACTTATGAAGGATTATAATTAACTCCTCCTTAGTTATGGTTCTTCTAGTCACCACATATACCAAAAAAGCTTTCCTCAACGTCTCATTCCAAGGCTAGGTTTCCCCTAGGCCTATCTCAGCACTTATTCAGTGGCCCTGTGACGGCCTGGGTATTTCATCCTTTGAACTATAATTCAGTTGAGGATGGAGATTATGATGTAATTATCACAAAATCCTCAAAGTATATATTTGTCACATGGAGAGCAGTGTATACATTTTTTCTTTTTTACCTTAAATGGATAAAGAAGATAAAACATGTTTAATCTGCTATAGAATTTCTTATGCCTTAAAAATCTCAAGTCATTATCTGCCACAGTCCAAGAAACAGTGTTAAGCATTATCAATAGGGCACATCTTCTTTAAGACCTGTACTGAGTGACTCTAATATAAATGGCTAATTGTTTAATAATTAGTTAAAGGTAATTGATACACTTTCGTATTTTTAGAAGATTTAGTCTATTATTTTAAAATGGGGAGCTTTTCAGTATTGGCTGGTTCTGTCATTTCTCCCAACCAAATATTTGACAGAAAAAAGTTTCTTCAAGCTGGCATGTTTTCCCCAGTTCAAAAATGTTCCAGTGACATTTTAGGCTAATTTTATTTTTACAAGTGAAAAAAATAGTCTTTTTCACTGAACAAGTTTTATTGCCATGGAAGATTAACTGGGGTTGTCAAAAATAAGAAAACATGTCAGACATTTTGTACTCTTTCTGTCAATGGGTCATTCATTTATTCAGTCATTCACAAAGTTAGCTCATTCTTTTAGAAACAGTAGAATCCTAATTTACATTTTTCATATATTTAAATGAACTAATTACTGAAAGAACAGCCAGAGACTATAAAACTCAGCCTGATGTAACAGCAAATGTGGAGGCAAAACATGACAGCTCTTCTTTGTTTAAAATTGTCTGAGGTTCTTGATATGAGTACCCAAGATGCATAGGAACTACTTGTGAAAAACAGAACTTTCACCTGCTGCCAAAGGCAGATATCTGTTGCTCTACTATACTTGGTACTGCCATTTGTGGGAACTCTCTGCTATGGATGATATCTTCAATCTGATTAGAATATTCATGAAAGGGAACTCTGCTATTCAAAGTACAAATAAATAGAGAAATAAGGTCTGCCAGAAAACATAAATAGGATTTTTATTTCTGTCTAAATTTTTAAGAATAATATATTTCCCTGTTGAAGCTATTGGAAAAATAATATCTTATTGACATAACACAAAGTGTTTCTGTCATGCTGATAATCATGTCATAAGTACAGAGAGCCTGTTTTCCCAATAGGGGAGGGACTTGAATTCTAATTCCTGTGGCAGAGGCATAGCCGGGCTCTGACATCACTGAGCTGGGCTAGCAGGGGCAGGGAGAGATAGCTAGTACCCAGAAGAAGCACCAGACCTTGACTGTCTTCTTTCAGTGTGTCATTTTCTTGCTTTCACACTCCGTTCTCTAGCATCTTTACATCAGAGAAATAACAATTAATTGAGTCAACATATTCTTTAAGAATATCGAAAAGGAATCAATTCAAAGAATGTTCTCAAAAAGAGAGACTGATTCCTCTGTTCTTCTCTTAGCTATGTCAGGGTTTATTACTGAATTGCCAGGCTCTATGGCTAACGAGCCTTAATGAAAATCAAATATTCTAAAATCTGTTTCTTAGCCATGATAACGACATGTTAAGAATGGGTATATTTTCTTATTAAACCAGTGTAATCCTAATCTTTGCTTTGTGGTTTATACTACCTTGAGCCATTTCTCCAGCGGATACAGATCTCCAGGAAGATATTACTTAGAAAAATTACGTTTGCTGAAAATGAGAGTAGACATAAGATAAAAAGGTTAATGTTAATGATAATAATGACAATAACATCTTTTATGTACTTATTGTGTGCTGGCAGATACTGTTCTAAGTGCTTTATAAGAACACAGTTTTAGGTGGAGAAACTGAGGTACAGAGCAGTTATGTAACTTGCCTAATTAGGGCCTAGATGAAGGTAAGGCAGGTGAAGCAGTTAAATCCAGTGCAAAAATGTCCATGCAACCCAAAGTGACCTGTAAGTTCAGTGCAGTCCCCCAAAAAACCCCAATATCATTTTTCAGAAAAAATAGAGAAAGCATTTCTAACATTTCCATGGAGCCAGAAAAGACCCTGCATACTCAAAAATTTTTTCCAAAAAGAACAAAGCTGGAGGCATCACACCAATTTATCTCAAAGTCAACTACAAAGCTATAATAATCAAAACAGCATGGTAGCGGCACCAAAACAAATGTATAGAAAAATAGAACAGAATAGAGAACCCAGAAATAAACCCACATTCTATAGTCAATTGATATTTGATAAAGGTGCCAAAAACACACAATGGGGAAAGAACAGTCTCTTTAATAAACTGGATTACCACATGCAAAAGAATGAAACTCATCCCACATAAAAAATCAATTAAAAACTTAAATGTAAGACCTACAATTATAAAACTGCTAGGCAAAAACTAGAGGAAAAGCTCCATGATATTGGTATTAGCAAAGATTTATTGAATATTATCACAAAAGCACAGACAGCAAAAGGAAAAATAAAGCAATGGGATTACATCAAACTAAAGAGCTTCTGCACACCAAAGGAAACATTCAACAAGCTATTCATGAGACAACCTGTTTAACAAGAGAAAGTATTTGTAAACCATTGTATTAGCTCACTCACATTGATCTAAAGAAATGTCTGAGACTGGGTAATTTATAAAGAAAAAGGATTTAATTGGCTCACAGTTCTGCAGGCTTTACAGGAAGCCTGGTGCTGGTATCTGCTCAGCCTCTGGGGAGGCTTCAGGAAGCTTACAATCATGGTGGAAGGCAAAGGGGGAGTAGGAACACCATACGGCAGTGGCAAGTGAGAGAAAGAGTAGCCAGGAGCTGTTGTACAGTTGTAAATGACCAGATCTTATGTGAACTCAGAGCCAGAACTCACTTATCACCAAAGAGACGGCCCAAGCCATTCATGAGGGATCCTCCCCAATGATCCAAACACCTGCTACCAGGGTCCAACTCCAACACTGGGATTACATTTCAACATGAAATTTGGGTGGGGACAAATATTCAAACTATACCAACAATATATTTGATAAAGGGTTAATTTAAAAAATATATAAGGAACTCAACTCTATGCAAGAAAACAAACAAACTGATTAAAAAATGGGCACAGAACTTTAATAAATATTTTTCAAAAGAAGAGAATCAAAAGGCCAATAAGTATACAAAAAAAAAAATATTTCACATCACTAATCATCAGGGGAATGCAAATTCACAGGTGTGAATGAGCTATCACTTCACACCTGTGAGAATAGCATTTATTAAAATACAAAAGACAAATATTGGCAAATATGTAGAGAAAAGGGAACCCTTGCACACTGTTTGTGGGAATGTAAATTAGTATAGCCATTATGAAAAGTAGTATGGAGGTTTCTCAAAAATTAAAAATAAAACTACCACATAATCCAGCAATTCCACTTCTGTGTGTATATCCAAAGGAAATGAAATCAGTTATGTCACAGAGGTATCTACAGCCTCATGTTCATTGCAGCATTATTCTTAATAGCGAACTATTATTCATAGCCAAGATATGACAATAAAATAATATCTCTTGATGGATGAATGGATAAAGAAAATGGGACGGATACACACAATGGAATAAGATTCAGCCTTAGAAAAAAGGGTATCTTGCTATTTGAGATACTATGGATGTATCTGCAGGATATTATGCTAAGTAAAATAAGCTAGGCACAGAAAAAAATACTGTATGATCTCACTTTTATGTAGAATCTGAAAAAGTTGAACTCAAAAGAGTAGGGTATTCTTTTCATAGGCTGGGAACAAGGACAGATGTTTGTCAAAATATAGAAAGATTCAGTTAAACAAGATGATTAAGTTCTGGACATTTATTTTGTTATACAGCAGAGTGACTATAGTTAATAATAATGTGCTACATACTTGAAAAGTGCTAAGAAAGTAGATTTTAAATGTTCTAACCACAGAAAAGATGTTTATGAGGTGAAGATATGTTATTTACTTTGATTAATTGTTCCATTATGTATACATATATGAAAAAGTCATGTTGTACCCCATAAATATATACAATGAAAATCATTTCAAAATAAATGAGTTATTTTTTTAAAAGTGGTGCCAAAAACTCAGTAATCAGGCTAAATAATAGTTAAGGCAATGAATTTAAAAAATCAAAAATTAAAAAAATTCATGAGAAGCAAGATGTCAAAATTTTAAAAATAGGCAGGTTGCTGTTATTTATTTGTCATATGACCCAGTGTTGTGTAAATGAAACAGTTGTTTCTAATCAACCCTGTTCGTGGGTATGCACAGCCATCATGACTCCTTGCTGGGCATGTTTTTGAAGGTTCATAATGTTGTGAAAACAGATTTGGCAACTCATGGATATATTTCACCATATATATTTGCAAATATGTAACAATACGTACATTTATTATATATTGATATATATTATATGTAGGGATATACATTATAAATAGTGTATACATGCATATTTCTTTTTATTGTGCTATGCTTTATTTTACCATGCAGATTTTGCATATTTAACAAATTGAAAGTTTTTGGCAGCCTTGCCTCTAGCAAGTCCATCAGGTCTTTGTGACACATTTTGGTAATTCTTGCAATATTTCAAACTTCCACTATTATTATATCTGTTACGGTGATTTGTGATCAGTGACCTTTGATGTTACTATTGTAATTGTTTTGTGGCACCAGAAAACATGCCCATATAAGACAGTAAACTTCATTGATAATTGTTGTGTGTGTTTTGATTGCTCAACTGATTGATCATTGCTCCATGTCTCTCCTTAACTTCAGGCCTCCCTATTCCCTGAGACACAACAATGTTGAAATTAGGATAGTTGATTATACAACAGTACAGTGACCATGGAAGTCAGAATCCACTAAGGAGTGTATAACAACTCAACTGACTACTCAACTGTCCCTGAAAATGGATGGTGCTGAGGAGTTGAGCCAATATGCAGCCATTGCTAGTAGAGGGACTAGAGCAGGAAGGACAGAGCAGTGCTCAGATCTCCCAAGCCTAAAGACACTATGCCAAGATGAGTAGAAGGGCCATTGCAATGTCCCTTAATAGAACATGGGCCTGGGTGGAGCCACTGCAGGCGCAGATCTTGGTGGTAGTAGCAAATATTAAAACAACAATAAAAAAATTAGGGCAATTAATAGCTCTACAATGGACTCGAAGTGTTCAAGTGAAAGGAAGAGCCACATGGCTCTCACTTTAAATCAAAAGCTAGAAATGACTAAGCTTAGTGAGGAAGGCATGTTGAAAGTCAGGATAGGCTGAAAGCTAGGCCTCTTGCAACAAGTAGCCAAGTTGTGGATGCAAGGGAAAAGTTCTTGATGGAAATTAAAAGTGCTACTCCAGGACAGGTGTGGTGGCTTATGCCTGTAATCCTAGAGTTTTGGGAGGCTAAGGTGGGGAAATTCCTTGAGACCAGGAGTTCAAGACCAGCCTGGGCAACATAGTGAAGACTTATTTAAAAAAAATAAGCCAAGTATGGTGGTGCATGTCTATAGTCCCAGCTACCTGGGAGGCTGAGGCAGGAGGATCACTTGAGCCCAGGAGTTCAAGGTTGCAGTGAGCTATGATTGTGTCACTGCACTGCAGCCTGGGCAATAGAGCAAGAACTTGTCTCTAAAAAATAAAAGTGTGACTCCAGTGAACACACAAATTATAAGAAAGCAAAACAGCCTATGGCTTAATGGAGAAATTTTGAGTGGTCTGAATAAAAATGATCAAATCAGCCACAACATTTCCTTAAGCCAAAGCTTAATCCAGAACAAGGCCTTAACCTCTTCAATTCTATGAAGTCTGAGAGTGGTGAGGAAGCTGAAGAGAAAAGTTTAAAGCTAGTAGGTGTTGATTCATGGGATTTAAGAAAATAAATTATCTTTATAAAACCGTCTCCAACCTAAAAGTGCAAGTGAAGCAAGTGCAAGAAGCTACAGCAAGTTCTCCAGCTGAAGTTCTCCTGCCTAAGATAATTGATGAACATGGCTACACTAAACAACAGATTTCTAATGTAGACCAAAATGCCTTCTATTGGAAGAAGATGCCCTCTAGAACTTTTGTAGCTAGAGAGAAGAAGTCAATGCCTAGCTTCAAAGCTTCAAAGAACAGGCTGACTCTCTTTTTAGGAGCTAATACAGTTGGTGGCTTTAAGATGAAGACGATACACATTAGCCCTTCTGAAAATACTGGGGTCCTTAAGAATTATGCTAAATATACTCTGCATTTGTTCTAGAAATGAAATAACAAAGCCTAGATGACAACACATCTGTTTACAGTATGGTTTATTGAATATTTTAAGCCTTACTGTTGAGACCTTTTGAAATTCCTTTCAAAATATTCCTGGTCACTGACAATGCACCTGGTTACCCAAGAGCTCTGATGAAGATGTTCAAGGAGATTAATGTTTTTTTCATGACTGCTAACACAACATCTATCCTGTAGCCCACAGTTAAGGAGTAATTTTGACTTTCAAGTATTATTATTTTACAAATACATTTATTAAGGATATAACTGCTACAGTGATTCCTCTAATGGATCTGGGCAAAGTTGAAAACCTTCTGGAAAAAAATTGCCATTTTAGATGACATTCAGAAAATTTGTCGTTTATGGGAGGAGGTCAAAATATCAATCCTATGAGGAGTTTGGAAGAAGTTGATTTCAACCTTCATGGATGACTTTAAAGGTTCAATACTTCAGTGGAGGAAGTCACTGCAGATGTGGTGTAAATAGCAAGAACTCTTGTCTGATGAACAGAATTGCTTTCGATGGCTACCCATTCTCACAGCATCTAGGAGTAAAAGCAAGCACGGCATTAGCATGAGAGGGGGTTTCAAATCTGCTGTGGGTGGGAGCAAGGGGAGGGCAGGAGACAGCAAGTCCCCAAGCATTCTGCTGTTGACTGAGGACCTATGACAGCTCCAGTGAACACTATATTCAAGAGTATCAGACAGAGGAGCTGGGGATTTCATCAAGAACCCGGAAGCCATATCATATATATATATATATATATATAAAATACATATAATATATATTATATAATATACATATATATGTATATATTATATATACATATATATGTATATATATGTATATTATGTATATATATGTATATATAATATACATATATATACATATATATGTATATTATATATATACATATATATGTATATATAATATATACATATATATGTATATATAATATATACATATATATGTATATATATATGTATATTATATATACATATATAAATGTGTGGGTGGAGAGACAGAGAAAAGGAGAGAAAGAGAAAGATGTATGTGTACAGTTAACCCCTGAACAACATGAAGTTTAGGGGCACCAAGAACCCACATAGTCAAAAAACCACATAAAACTTTTGATTTCCCCAAACTTAACTATTAATAGCTCAATGTTGACCAGAAGCCTTACTGATAAACATTTGGTTAACAAATATACTGTATGTTATATGAATTATATTCTCTATTCTAGTAAGCAAGAGAAAAGGAAATGTTATTAAGAAAATAATAAGGAAAAATTATTCCACTTAACTATTCATTAAGTGGAAGAGGGTCATCCTATAGATCTTCATTCCTGTCTTCCTCATATTGAGTAGGCTGAGGAGGAGGAGCGGGAGAAGAGGTTTGTCCTATTATCTCAGGGGTAGCAGAGGTGAAAGAAAATCCACATATAAGTGGATCTTTGCAGTTCAAACCCATTTTTCAAGGGCCAACTGTATATGTTTTCCTATATAGCTCTCTCCATATATCCACATATAAATTTCTATATATCTTCCACATATAAATAGATTTCATTTTATTTTATTATTTTCTTATTTATTTATTTTTTATTATTATACTTTAAGTTTTAGGGTACATGTGCACAGTGTGCAGGTTAGTTACATATGTATACATGTGCCATGTTTGTGTGCTGCACCCATTAACTCGTCATTTAACATTAGGTATATCTCCTAATGCTATCCCTCCCCCCTCCCCCCACCCCACAACAGGCCTGGTGTGTGATGTTCCCCTTCCTGTGTCCATGTGTTCTCATTGTTCAATTCTTACCTATGAGTGAAAACATGCCGTGTTTAGTTTTTTGTCCTTGCGATAGTTTGCTGAGAATGATGGTTTCCAGCTTCATCCATGTCCCTACAAAGGACATGAACTCATCATTTTTTATGGCTGCATAGTATTCCATGGTGTATATGTGCCACATTTTCTTAATCCAGTCTATCATTGTTGGACATTTAGCTTGGTTCCAAGTCTTTGTTATTGTGAATAGTGCTGCAATAAACATATGTGTGCATGTGACTTTATAGCAGTATGATTTATAATCCTTTGGGTATATACCCAGTAATGGGATGGCTGGGTCAAATGGTATTTCTAGTTCTAGATCCCTGAGGAATCGCCACACTGACTTCCACAATGGTTGAACTAGTTTACAGTCCCACCAACAGTGTAAAAGTGTTCCTATTTCTCCACATCCTCTCCAGCACCTGTTGTTTCCTGAACTTTTTAATGATCGCCATTCTAACTGGTGTGAGATGGTATCTCATGGTGGTTTTGATTTGCTTTTCTCTGATTCCCTTTGAAAACTGGCACAAGACAGGGATGCCCTCTCTCACCACTCCTATTCAACATAGTGTTGGAAGTTCTGGCCACGGCAGTCAGGCAGGAGAAGGAAATAAAGTGTATTCAATTAGGAAAAGAAGAAGTCAAATTGTCCCTGTTTGAAGATGACATGATTGTATATCTAGAGAACCCCATCATCTCAGCCCAAAATCTCCTTAAGCTGATAGGCAACTTCAGCAAAGTCTCAGGATACAAAATCAATGTGCAAAAATCACAAGCATTCTTATACACGAATAAAAGACAGATAGCCAAATCATGAGTGAACTCCCATTCACAATTGCTTCAAAGAGAATAAAATACCTAGGAATCCAACTTACAAGGGACGTGAAGGACCTCTTCAAGGAGAACTACAAACCACTGCTCAGTGAAATAAAAGAGGATACAAACAAATAGAAGAAAATTCCATGCTCATGGGTAGGAATAATCAATATCAGGAAAATGGCCCTACTATGCAAGGTAATTTATAGATTCAATGCCATCCCCATCAAGCTACCAATGACTTTTTTCACAGAATTGGGAAAAACTACTTTAAACTTCCTATGGAACCAAAAAAGTGTCCACATTGCCAACTCAATCCTAAGCCAAAAGAACAAAGCTGGAGGCATCATGCTACCTGACTTCAAACTATACTACAAGACTGCAGTAACCAAAACAGCATGGTACTGGTACCAAAATAGAGATATAGACCAATGGAACAGAATAGAGCCTTAGGAGAGAGTGCCACATATCTACAACCATCTGATCTTTGACAAACCTTACAAAAACAAAAAATGGGGAAATGATTCCCTATTTAATAAATAGTGCTGGGAAAACTGGCTAGCCATATTTAGAAAGCTGAACCTGGATCCCTTCCTTACACCTTATATTTTATTATTTTCATATTTATTTATTATTTATTATTTTCATATTTATTTTATTTCATTTTATATCTAAAAATTTTCTATCGTCTATTGACATTGTAGGTGTCATAACATCCTGACACAACATATTATTCACATGTTGCATAAAAGTTGCAATAAAAGTACAGCACATACAATTATGTATAGTTCATATTTGATAATAGTAGTGGCTATATTATCAGTTTATGTGTTTACTATATTCTACTTTTTATCATTAGGTTAGGGTATACGCCTACTTACTAAGAAAATTTAACTATAAACAGCCTCAGGCAGTCCTTCAGGAGGTATTCTAGAAGGCACTATTATCACAGGAGATGAGCTCCATGAGTATTACTGCCCCCGAAGACCTTCCAGTGGGACACAGTATGGAGGTGGAAGACTGTGATATTGATAATTATGACCCTGTGTAGGCCTACGCTAATGTGTATGTTAATGTATATGTTTGCATCTTAATTTTTAACAAAAAAATTTATAAAGTTAAAAAAATTAAAAATTAAAAAGTAGAAAAAATATTTTATAATAAGGATAAAAAGGAAGAAAATATTTTTGTACTGCAGTATAATATTTGTGTTTTAAGCTAATTGTTATTACAAACATCAAAATGTTAAACAACTTTGAAAAGTTTATAATGCAAAATAGTTACTGCAGGCTAAGTTTAGTTTATTATTGAAGAAAGAAAAATATAAATAAATTTAATGTAATGTAAGTGTACAGTTTTTATAAAGTCTTCTGTAGTGTACAGTAATGTTCTACACCTTCACATTCACTCATCACTCACTCACTGACTCACACACAACAACTTCAGGCCTGCAAGCTCCAGTTACAGTAAGTATCCTATACAGGTGTGCCTTAAAAACAAAAATTATACCATATTTAGTGAGCTTGTATTAACTTTTTAGTTAATACATTTAGTGAGCTTGTATTAACTTTCTCCACTTGGTTCAAAATAAACAAGGATATTTAGGTAAGTATGTATGGGGATATACATTCTTCCATTTGTCTCAAACTCTGATAGGACTTGGCAGGGCATTGTGCCTAAGGTTACAACAGCTTGTAATTTGCAGAGCCAGGACTTAAACCCAGGTGGTCTGGTATCACAGGGTTCATTTAAACTTCTAGATTGTCTCTCTGTTTATGATAAATGTGCACGATTTGCATAAGAACAAAAATTGTATTACAATATCTCTCAATCTGCAAGTTAAAAAAACCAATGAATTGGCTGGTGTTTACAGAATTACTGATAATTCAAAACATCTTTGCAGATATTGGTTACTTGCATGTCCTTTATTGAGATATAGCAGCTCGTATGCTCTTTCTTCTCTCCTTGTACTAGTATATCTCCCCAAATTCAATTTCACTAATTAAGAATTTGTTAAAATATGGGGGGAAATGTATAAATTTTAAATATTAAAAGAGTAGTATTAACTGGGCATTTTAAATATTTACCTTATGAAATCAATAATATTCTACCTCATAAAAGTAATCATATTACTATATGTGTAGCCATTTTTTTCCAGAGATATACACCTCTATATAATATATGAAATATATGGGTCGATATTCATTTTAAGGGATTTATTAAACAAAATAAGTACTGGGTAAAAATACGTATTATATGGCATGATTAATTTACCTTGATGTTACCATTTCTAGAATCGTCTCTAAAATGTAGAGTAATTGGAAAAATTTTTTCTTATACGATTATTATACAATTTAGAATGATTTCTATTCTTGAAAGTTTCCTTTTCTTTTCCTTTCTTTAATTAGTGATGGTTTATTGTATTAATGCTTTTAGTGGTTTATAGATTCCATTGTTAGCATAACTTGAAAATTAAATACCAGTAAAGCTGGAGAAGTTCCTGCAGATAAAGATTTTTTTTCCTTTTCTAATTTTCGATGTTTCAATAAGTCCCCACTAGAAACTTCAATTTTTTACAAAATTAGACAAATATTTACATATGTAAAAATATTTAATTTTCATTTTCTATTGATTGAACATTTTATAGTATATCTACTTTCAGAATTTTATTCTTAATTGTGACACTATGAGATTTTTCTCTTTAGTAATTTAGTTCATGCAAAGAGCAGTTTTACATAAATTTAAGTAGTGATAGCACAGGGATGAACTTCTCCAACTCACTGACACTCCTCTTCAGTAGTTTTGGAAAATACTAGGTTTGGAGAGCTGAGAGTCAGGCATCATTATGAATACAGCACTGGTATGTGTATTTGGGCCTGGGCTTTATCTTAGTGCAATTCTGACCTGCAAGTTACCTATTCTTTCATCTAGTAGGGGCTTTAGGATAATTGTACCTGCATTTGATTAGTTGAGTTGCACTTTTATTTTTGCCAATAACAATTTTATGTACTATTAAACATATTATATCCCTTTTGTCTTTAATTGTATTATTTGTTGGTTTGTTTAATAATTTGTCAGAAGAATTAATATTTGAAACTGACAAACCTTATTTATGCAAGTAACAGGCTTCTTTTTGTGTATTGTCATTTGCAAATGATTTTTCCTGATACAGTCCTATTTCTGTACTTCTGATTGTACCAGATGGTTGAGTATGTGCAGAATGGATGCAATTACTCTAACATATCCAGTCTTTCTCTGTTTTTACCCCTTTCCACATCTACATGCATCTCTTCACTCTCTGGCAATGCACAAGGCTGTTTTCAGACCTTTCAGTCTTCTTTGTTGCTTTCCACCTTGTCTCCTACTTCAAACGGAATGAAACTTTCAAAACAGGCTTATGAATGAAGGCTTTTCCAAATACAGTGCAATCATCTGAACTGTTTCATTCACAGGCCTGTTTTTTCCCTTCACAACATTTCTTGCACTAACTTGTGGATATCTTTTAACACAGAGATACTTGTATGCAGCACCCAGTAATTTTTTTCTTCTGATTTACAGAAGGCACACACCTTTGAATATGATTTAGTTACTTTATTTTTCAACTTCTCCTGTACTGTTTTCTTTAAGTTGGACAGCTTTTTTTTTCTTTTTTTAAATGTGGTCTATGATTCTTTCACACCTCTGTGGTTTTATTTGCACCATTTCCTCCTTCTAAACTTAAGATTCTTCTGGCATGCCTCCTACAATATTCATTAATCATTTCCAGACCTATTCATTGCTAGGTTCAGATAACTCTATGATTTTGTCCATTAGACTCAACCTTTTCCTTCCGTGGATGCTCTGGCACTTTTATTGGCATTCTTTAAATCCCATAGTGCATAAATATTCTTTATCTTCCTGGTCTCTCCCTGTACAAGATATTGCACATGAAAAGATACAATGCCATCTTTGTATAGTTATAGCACGTAACACAGGCTTTATTGCATGTTACAACTTGTCCCTATCAGGAGTAAAAGATGAATGTCATATAAACTGTTAACTAAGGGTCTAAAAAGTACATTTTTAGACATTGTAACTCAAGGGTCAGTAAAGACAGGATTATTTCCTGTACCTGGGGCTTAAGACCTGGCTGCCTTTGTGTAGAAAACAGATCATAGCAGGGTCTGAAAATTGAAAGAGGACTTTTCCATTTCCTACACATGGTTCAAATAGTTCTGATACATGCATGTTTTGTATTTTATAAAATGCACAGGACATAATGTTAGCCAAATTCTGCACAAATTTTATGAGTTAAATGTTAAATAAACAATTATTTCTAAAGATGAAAGAAAAGGATAATATTTTACCTGTTTTTTAATTTTTAAACTAATTTACTTTATATTTAAAAACTGTTCATTTTCTATCTAGGACTTTCTTTGCAAAGAGATTATAAATGTTATGTAGAAGCCCTCATCTCGAAGGCTTAACAGTGAGAAAACTGTCCCTGACTTGCCTACTTATTCCATGGAATGATAAAATTTTGCCAAAATAGCTTAGAAAAGTGATTTTGAAAGGGACACTCAGAGAGGATATTTTAAATAGAGTAGGTCACACTTGAGAGTTGAATTGCAAAAGGAAACTGTACTGATTTTATAAGAATCTATTAAAACTATGCAAAATTTTACAAATAATATGATTAATTCATAAAACCCAATATTTCCAGTGTAATGGGAAATGAATAAAGCTGAGCAGGCACAACCTAAAAGAAAACTTTAAAAATTACAGTAAAAAGGATGAGCACATGTTGGTGAAAAGCTAAACACAGGAGATATTTTTAAGCTTCACTCATACAGAAAATACATTTATTGAAAATTTGAGTAATTTGTGTAATATCACTGAAGTACAAGAGGCGACATTTGATTTTTCAAATCAAATGCACTGTGAGGAGTTCATTGTTCACCTAGGTTCCAGGCACTGTTCTAGGCACAGGAAATACAGCTGTGAATGTTCATGCTTTTTACTTTATGGATCTATAATGAGTCTTGCATATGTGTTCCATTGATGTTACTGAAAGACATGCATTCCAATATGAAGAGGGGTGAACACATAGCACTGCAAGGAAATAGAATATGAGACAGGTCTGGGAAAAAAGAAAGGGTTTAATTTTCAAAGAAACAATAATCAGGTCTCCAAAAAAGTTTCTATGACTAAGAAAATATTTGTGAACAAGTAAAATTAGGTTGTGATTAAAAGTTTTCATTTGTACTTTCTTTCATTCCCTTAAGTCTTGAAGTCTCTTTATGCTCAAATACCCAAGTAATAGCTCATTAACTGTGAACATGTTTCTTCCTTTTCATTGCAATTCTATTTTAAGCATGACAGAGAATCAAATGGCACATCACTGAAGGGTAAAAATTAGTGCAGGTGAAGGATTTCAGGACAATGTGTAAATCTACTTTGCATCATAAAGATTCTGCTAAATATTTAGAGACAGAGGTAGTTGGGGGGGAACACTTTACCATTCTCCCCTGAAGAAATCTCACAGTTATTGCTTTACCTTGTATTAGCAATATAACCTAAATCAGAAAGAACCCTTTACAACGTGAAAAGATTGTTTACTTCGGTTATTGAGCTGATTTACATTTGTATAAACAGCAAGACACATGACAACACAGCCTTCAATCTTTGTCAATTGGTGGAGATCAAATAAGATACTGCTAAAAATTGCCTTTTGTGAGCAAGGCTTACAAACCATATATAAACACTTCTTGGGACTTTAGCATCTTCCAATACCTCTATTTGGCACAGCTTTCTTCTGCATAAGGGATTTAGAATTAGTCCCAGATGAGTAAGTGGAGAACCTAAATGAGACCTAACACAACCAGGAGCCATATATATATATTCTGTAGAAAGATGAATAATGGGAGAGAAGATGAGGTCTGAAGTTTTATGAAGTACTGAATCAATACCAATAGACTGTCACAAAAAAGAAAATCTCCAGGATGTTTTCTCCTTAACTATATGGGGGAAATCTGAGAGTTTTATAGAGCTGTAACTTATTAATGGCAGATACCTCATATTCTGTTATTTTTTGTTCTCACACTTAGTAAAATACTTTGGCTTCTGTGGATGCAAACACATGTTAGTGAGCAATTAATAACTAGGGCAATCAAAGTATAAGACCAGAGAGATGAAATATTTGCTATAAATCTAGAATATTGCAAGCTGAAATAGACACAAGGTGAAGATATTATGGGTATAACCAGTGAAGTCAACCTCAATTTAAAATATTTAGGCATTCAATGTTCTCAGGATCAAATTCTGAAAGACAGTTTTCTTAAATATGTATGAAACAAATCTTCATTGCAAGCCCACTCAGAGCTGAACACATAAACATTAGACAAATGGCACAGCTATCTCAATCTCTACCAGTAGTGCCAAAGAACATGGTTGTGGAAAAAATTGTATCGTGTCTTTTAAGATAAGAATTTTTTAAAACTTGGAGAATGTACATCAAATTTCTAGACCTCTTTTTCTAACCTGTTATTGCATAAAAATTTCTAAATCGATTTGATTTTTGTTTAAAACCCATATAGCTCTTAGAATTATTTATTTATATTCAACGTAGAAAATAAATTAATGCTCAGAAATTTTTTTTTTGGAAATACCACTTAGAATTTTTTAAAAAGGCATACAGTTATATGTTATAGAGAACATAGTATGACCCACTAAGGATTTGACTAAAGACATTTTATACAAAATTTTCTATATTTTAACATAGTTTAATTTTTTCTTTCAAATACACAAACCAACCAGCAGTAAGCTTAAAATCTTAGCCTAAGAACATTAACTATGGCTTAAAAACCATAAAATAACAATTATTATTATTTTATTTATTTACTTACTGAGTCTCACTCTGTCACCCAGGCAACAGTGGCAAATCTTGGCTCAGTGCAACCTCTGCCTTCAGGGTTTAAGTGATTCTTCTGCTTCAGCCTCCAGAGTAGCTGGGATTACAGGCATGTGCCACCATGCACAGCTAATTTTTGTATTTTTAGTAGAGACAGGGTTCCGCCATGTTGGCCAGGCTGGTCTTGAACTGCTGACCTCAGGTGATCCACCTGCCTCGGCCTTCCAAAATGCTGAGATTACAGGCATGAGCCACCGTGTTCGGCCTAGTGAAACTATTATTTTAAAGCACAATTGGATATTTATATATCAGCTGAGCTTTCAAAGTATCTTTGTGTATAGAATCTCATTTCATTTTCCCAGAAGCCATATGAGACATTTTATTCCATTCTGCAAATGAAAAATCTAAGACTGATGAAGGTTGAATACCTTATTACATAGTAAGTGCTACAGCTAAAATTTGTTAGTCACCTGACTGGCTGTCCAGTGCATTTTAGATGACACAACATTGCTCTTATATTAACCATGCAAATATTCAGAAACTAGTACTTTTTATAACTTGATTAGTTGAATGATTTTTATAAAAATGCATATGAATTATAGAACATTTAAAAATAGAGAAGCAAAATAAAGTAAGTAAAAACCACCAGTTATATCACATCACCCAGTGACATGGTAACATTTAGGTGAATTTTCTCCCAGACTTTGTACACTTATATATGTATTTAAAAACAGGATCACAATTCACATACTGCTTTATAATCTGCTTTTTTTCCACTTAGTAATATATTATGACCTTATTTTCATATTATCACATATTGCACTGAATCATTTACAGAATATTTTCCCTATTTCTTACCACAATTAATAATATCATTCCTGATCAAAGGCATCTTCTACACCCTGTAGCGAGAAGTAGTTAATCTAGTATAAAAAAATCTCTCCCCATTACATAAATCAAAATTAGTACTACAGAAGACCTTAGATTTCCACTTCTTGCTGAGTGTTCTGGGAGCCTCAAAAGTGAACATACTGTTTAGTTGTTTCTCACAGCAGGTGGAAGGAGGTAAACATGATGGAAAATTTCAGAAGGCAAAGTCAGTAGGGTTTAATGAAGCTCATTTCTCAATAAGATGTGATAAATGGCAGACACATTTGTCTGAATTCCAGCTATTTCTACGATAAGCTGTGTGGCTATTTCCAGGGCAGTGTACAGAGATTTTTGTGAAGAAAAACTAAAATTTTCTATATTACTAGGTGAAGGATGCACTAAATATTTGTGTGTTTTATATAAATAAGGTTGTCATGTAAATTATAACATTTTTGTTTTATGTAAAGTGTTTATAGAAATGATGTTTAAATGCAATAATACATCCAAATTATAGAGGGAGAGCTCTAAAATAGTAGATAGTCTGATTTTAAAGTGTTAAAACAGTTAAGACTGATGAGCAGTGTTTCATATTCATTACACCTTAAAATGTTAGCATTAATATTTCTAGAAATATTAGATGTGATTTTTCATAGCAGAAACAGTATTTTCTTAAGATACATATTATTCTATATCAAGGATGACCAAAGTCCCGGTTTGTGTGGGACTGAGGTTTGTTTGTTTTGTTTTGTTTTTAAAGACGTAGCACTGTCAAGGATAGAATAGGAATTGTCTGGGGCAAACTGGGTGGTTGGTTATCATCTATATAGTGAGGATAAAAGACTGTAGGCAAGTTAAAAATCAAAAACAGTGAAAGCTATCAAGATGATAAGGCACACAAGCAAAGATGGGCTGCTAGCCTGTCCAAGAAATTATTTCCTGGAGAGTTGTGTTACCTAGATTTTCACAGAGGGTCCAAGACAACAGGCCAAGGGATGATACTGTACTTAGAAGTACAACCTTTTCTACTTAGCATCTGACACTTGTGATAAATTAAATACTGTTAAGATATTTTAGTTTCTTTTAATCTAATGCTGAAACCAACACATTCAAACTTGAAATAATAAAAATTACTTTTCCCCAGGGACTCTTAGAAAACAAATTAGAACAGAAAAAATAAATCTGTCTCTATTCGCAGACTGTGTGATTGCATACTTAGAAAAATGACAAAGTATTTGCAAAAGAAGTTCCTAGAATTAGTAAGTGAGTTTAGCATGGTTACAGGATGGAAGTTCAATTTACAGAAATCAATTGTATATCTACATACTAGCAATGAACATTTGGAATTTAAAATTAAAAACAAATAATAATAACATTTACAGTGATATCAGAAGGTGAAATGCTGAAATACATATTGAATAAGATATGTACAGAATCTGTATGGCAAAAAATGTAAAACACCTAAGAAAGAAATCAAAGACAACCCAAATAAATGGAAAGAAATGTGTTCATGAATTGGGAGACTCACTTTTGTTCTTTCTATCCTGACCTATAGATTCAAAGCAAACATAATAAAAATCCCTGAAGGATATTTTTAAAGTATAGACAAATTGATTTTTAAAATTTGGATGTAGAAAGACGATGCATATGTTTGACAGAAACAGTTGCATTTATTTTATACTAATTTTTTACAGAGTATAGTATTCAAACACACAATTTACCGAGTAAAATCAGTTTTACAGATAGAATGTAACAAGTCAATACTATTGTAACTGATACCCAAATCAATACACTGAGTGTTGCCAGTACCGCAGAATTATCTGTCATAAATAGTTCCCATATATGCCTGGTTTTACTTCAGGGTCTTCTGTTTTGACCCTTTGGCCTACTTTCCGTCCCAATGCCATAGGATGGTAACCACTAGAGCTTAATATTAAGTCTTGCTATCTGGTAAAACTTTCCCACTTTGTTAAAATCATCTTCTATGATACCTTGGATTCTGTCAGATGCTCCTGCCTCCTGGGCACTGAGATGCTTGTTCCAACCTGACTCCAAAGCAGCAGACGGACCCTGTGAGGGGCAGCCACATTTTTCACTTAGGTCAACACCTGGAGTCCCTGGCTTCTCCCACTATTTTCTATTTTGGTGTGAGCACTGTGTGGCAAGATATGAGGTGAGACTTTCCCACCAGCTGCCAAAGGGGCCAGGCTAATTTCTCATAACACCAAACTTGATCAATAGCACATCAGAGATGGGAGGCAGCTGATAAAGTCTTTCTCCATTGCGATCGTGCATGGACTTCTGAGGTGTAGTGTTTCTGTACAACCTCTACAAACGTCCTGTGTGGCCAAGTGACCGTCTCCTTGTGAAGAAGCAGCCATCTTGTGAATGCATCATAATATATTTGCTTCCCATTTATATTTTGGCTTCAAATCTTTATTTCCTTATTTTTTCCCCTGAAAATAACACTCACAATTAAGCATTAGCAATTAAGTTTCCTCTTCAGATTCTCTTTTTCTATGGGACTTTGAGTGGGACTACTATCTAGGCTATGCTATCTAGGCCATTTTGTCCTTTGTATTCCTTATAAATGTATAAATCCTCACCCCCACCAACCCTCCGCATTTCACAGATTCTGTGGTTATAAAGCAATTTGAAAAAAAAGTCACATCACATTAAATATGGAATACTTTAATTCATTGACATAGCATAATTCTCCATTTATTCATATCTTCTATGTGTACAAAGTATACATATTTTAATGTAAATGTTTCGTTATTTCTAGATACATGATATTTTTCTGCTATCTTAAATGGTGATTTTCCTTTTATTTCTAAATCATTGAGCCAGTTAAGTTTTAGATATTAATGTAAAATCTTGCATACTTGATAAGGTATGCATGTGTGCATGTATGCACATATATCTTCTTTTGAAATGCTACTTATACAATTGCAGAACTTTTTATTTCTTGTCAATCATTTTTTGTGTATTAGACAATCTCAGTTCTTCAGTATTAAATAGAAATAGTAAAAGCAAGAATACTTGACTCATATTAACTCTAAGGAAGAAAATAATCAGACATTTAGTTTTTATTTTCACTGTAAGATTTTGTACATGCCTTTACCATGTTGAGAAAGTTACATGACATTTCCAGTTTATCAAGAAATTGTATTATGAATGGATTATGAATTTTGCTATATAACTTTTCAACAAGATATTTTTCTCATTAATTTGTTAATGCAACACATCTTATTTATTGAATGTAGAACACAATACCAACTTCAAATTTCTGTGATAATCACAACTGAACATATATAACATATTTGCATACACTGCTGCATTTGCTTTACTTATATTTTATTTAAGCTTTATGGGGTAATACTGGCATATGATTTTCTTTTCTTATATTGTTCTTATCAGGTTTTGATTAAGATTAGGTTGAGTTCCTATAGTAAATTACAAAATCTTTGCAATTTTCTTTTTCTCTGACATTTTAACATATTGTGAAAAACATTTATTCTTTGAAAGTTTAATAGAACTTACTGATAAAACCATCTGGCCAGGAAGTTCATTTGTGAATTGTTTTGTTTATTTGTTTGGTTATACATAATCAAATCCTTAAATGGTTCTAGAATTATTAAGGCTTTTTATTTCTATTTGTGTCAGTTTTGTATATACCGTGTGTATTTCTATGTCACCTATCTCATTTCAATTTTATAATTTTTTGACAAAATTAATGTAAATGTTTTGTAATGTAAATCTGAAAATTAGTGTACTTAAATGTCAGTCTAAGAAAACTGGCACAGTAAATCTGGAGAATGTTAAAGTCAGAATATCATAGAAATAAATATTAATAAAATAAAAAATATATAATAAAATGTTTAAAAATAAATTTCCTGAAATTTGTAATTAAAATGAGAAATTTCTGGCATAAGTGAGTAGTACAAACGTGAGAGAAGTTTCAAGTAACCAAAGTCAGAATAGACAAAGGAGACATTGCTGGACAATCTTGTTAGACAAACTTCCAACCTTGCTCTGATTTTTTTCAGCCTTATCTACCACAACTTTCTTTAATGTTCCATCTGCTCTAAACTGAACTCTTCACTATTACACCCTATTTGCCCAGTTTTTCACTCTTTATTCCACATGAAGTATTCTCCCTTAATATCTATAGGTAGTAATCTTATAGTTCTCAGGTGCCAGTTAACATCATTCTAATGTCTCATAGATTTCCCTGTCCTCTCCAATCAGAAGAGTTTTTCTTCCATTCAACTTCTAGGCACTGCGTGTACAACTCAATTTCACCCTTACATTACCTTTATTGGAGTACATGTCATTCCTACTCTCCTAGAGAACATGCATATTTTAAATTACAATGTTTTCTAATCTTTTTGGTTTTCCACCATGCTTGACCAGTTGCCTGGCATGTAATCAGTATAGTAGACATGTAGAAGGATTGATTGAATAAATGAATGAATTAATAAATAAGTGCATGAACCAGTTGGCATAGACTGATGCCACATTGTCATTGGCTGATTGGAAATTGGCATTCATTCAATGAGACACTCTAAATTTCTTGCACAACAAAGTGTCATGCTTCTTATAGGAGATAGTGATTGATCCTATTAGATTGAAACAGCACCTGTTTCTCTTCTAATGTATTTTCAGTGCATATCAAGCATGTTTGATAATGCAGGCTTTAATTGTTCTAAATTGGCTTGAGTCTACTGAAATAATAAATGAGGCAATTTTGTCTTCAAAGACAATGGACTTTAATGAGAATATTTCTGTATCTGGCAATTTGCGGTCATAATTTATTTATAGCAGGGCTTATGATTCATCATTTTAATTTCTTTCAAATTTGTAAGAAAAATCATCTCTACGAGCACAAGTGTCTTATTCTGGCAGCTGTTCTTCACTAGCTGATATTTTCTGCAAACCCTAAACTTAGCATTAGCAGTTTTCAGCTTAATTTTTCTTTGTTTACATTTGGAGTATTTCCACCATATAAAAACAGTCTCATTGTAAAAATGCAAGGAAGAAATATATGCATCTGCAACACAGCCTGTTAGCAAACTCTAGTCTTCTCTGATCCCAGGTGAGCATGTTGGTAGCAGGAATAATCCCTTTCCCCTGGTGAGCATCTATAAAAAGAATCTGGATCAAATTATTTTCTTTGCTAAAATGCTCACTGTACCCACAGGGTTTCTTTAGAAACATTTGCTTTGTGAAGATTTAGCCATTTCCCAAAGCTTCTACAGAATGACATTTATTGTTTATTGTATTTTCAAGGAATTGTAACCTATAGTTGCTGAGGAAAAAAATGGGTTGATATTATTGCAGCACTATGGTGGTATTTTAACCAATTTCAATCTCTGTTTATTGCTTTCATTCTATCTGTGTTCATATTATGACAGATCTAACAGGTATCTGTAAGGCAATTCAGGGGCTGGGGAATACTTAGATAATGTCTGAGTACCTGAGACTTTATAGCTGAATACAAAATTAGCTGGGGTATAATAAAAGGCCCTGACATGAAAGAAGTAACTAGAGGAAGAGGATAGCTGCCCAACTTGCTCTTGCTTCTTCTAAAAATATTTGTTTAAATTGTTGTCCAGTATATTCAGGTCATAGGAAATACGAACACTTTTACACTGTTGGTGAGACTGTAAACTAGTTCAACCATTGTGGAAGTCAGTGTGGCAATTCCTCAGGGATCTAGAACTAGAAATACCATTTGACCCAGCAATCCCATTACTGGGTATATACCTAAAGGATTATAAATCATGCTGCTATAAAGTCACATGCACACGTATGTTTATTGCGGCACTATTCACAATACCAAAGACTTGGAACCAACCCAAATGTCCAACAATGATAGACCGGATTAAGAAAATGTGGCACATATACACCATGGAATACTATGCAGCCATAAAAAAGGATGAGTTCATGTCCTTTGTAGGGACATGGTTGAAGCTGGAAACCATCATTCTTGGCAAACTATCACAAGGACAGAAAACCAAACATCACATGTTCTCACTCATAGGTGGGAATTGAACAATGAGAACACATGGACACAGGAAGGGGAACATCACACACCGGGGCCTATTGTGGGGTGGGGGGAGGGGGGAGGGATAGCATTAGGAGATATACCTAATGTTAAATGAAGAGTTAATGGGTGCAGCACACCAACATGGCACATGTATACATATGTAACAAACCTGCACGTTGTGCACATGTACCCTAAAACTTAAAGTATAATAAAAAAAAACTCAATATAAAATATAGGTTACTTAATTTTAGATTTTTTGCTATTATTTTTTCTTCATTTGTATTACGTAGTTATGATTACACATTTGTTTTCATTTTGCTTTTTTTACTTAACATGACAACGTAAGTCATTTCCATATTAATATAATCACTAATATAATAATTTCGTAGGATTTTATTTCTGAACGTTCCATTCAGAAATGTTCCTACAGTCAGATTACCCATTTCTCTAATAAATAGTGAAGATTTAGTTTTGTCACTGTTAGGGTTACCGTGATTAAAAAATATGAGAATAAACATCAAAAAAAAACCATAGTAAGTCTCATAACAATTTGTTTTAACATTAATTATTTATATGGCCACACTTATATTTCTCATTTTTATAAATGCTAAATAGAAAAGTCAGGACTTTCCTGAAGAGTCAACTAGCATCAGGCACCGTGTAACGCAGTGCGATGTGGAGGATACACAAAACCAGTGCTGAGAAGAGACATTCCAAACCGAAGATATAGAAATGAGTATTTCAGTCTCAGATTAGAATAAGTAAACAAACACATACACACTGAAACATGGGACCTGAAGCACCCATGATTTGTGTGAGTGTGTATCTGCCTGGCCACAAACAAAAGATACATATACTTTGTCCTTTGAGATAATGTCCTTCATAGTTAGACAACCTACAGTAGTGAAAATTAAGTGTACTTTCAAGTTGGGCAGATTTTTCATTGCAGATCTTCCTAGTGTTGGCAAATTGCTTTACCTCCCTGAACCTCAGTTTTTTCTTTTTAAAATGGAGTTAATAAAACCTATGCCATAAAGCCACTGAAAGGATTCATTAAAATGCCATATATAAAGTGCTGGACATATGGAAGACATTTAGTAATATTAGCTCCATCTTACAACCATAATGGTTGAATTTCTCATGCAAAAATATATAACTAATTTGTACTGAGAAATGCCTGAATATCGGATATTTGCAGTCATCAAAATGGCATATTTCGAGCTGTTAAGTTTTAGGACTGTAGCACCATTATACTATGGTTCTTCTTTGCAGAAATTATTTTGGATTGTTTCTTGTCTAAATCCTCGGTTTAAATGATCCATTGCCGCTGAAAACCTGGTTTCATTATTTACTTTCAACTTCTTGACTCTAGCCTTTCCTTCCTTCCTTCCTCCCTCCCTCCCTCCCTCTCTCCCTCCTTCCTTCCTTCCTTCCTTCTTGTGTTCATTCTTTTCAGCATCTCACTCTGTCGCCAAGGCTGGAGTGTAGTGGCATGATCAATCATGGCTCCCTGCAACCTTTGCCTCCCAGGCCCAAGCAATCCTCCTGCCTTGGCCTTCCAAATTGCGGAATTACAGGTGTAAGCTACCATGCCCAGCCTTGACTCTGTTTTTAAAATTCAACTTTACATTAGGTTCTAAATTTGCAATATGATAATGATGTTCTTACCTTTTCACTGGCTCTTTGGTGAGATATACCTTTTTGACTCTCCTCACTACCAGAACTTAAAGATCCCTGGAGTCCTTGATTCTTTAAGGTTAAGACATATTTCTATAATCAGAAATGGCAAATTGTACACTTGGTGGTAGACAGCAGCCTAGGATTTTATTTGAAGATCATAATATTTTCATATTCAAGTTATCATTATGTTACAAACAATTGAAAGTCAATGATTGGGTGGGTATTAGGATGGAAGAAGTAAAAGACACATGATGCTTTAATGGAAATAATGTTCTAGTTAATCAGGTAAAATTTTCACAGACTTTTGAAACAAGGTATAAATTCCTCAGTACCAAATCTGTAGCCAGTCATGGAGAGAGTAGGGCCTAAGGAATGGTAGAGGAAATGTAAGCATCAACATTTGTGTGTGGGAAGCATGCAGGGGAATGGAGTAAATTGTGAGCAAGTGAAACATGATGACATGCTGTGAAGTCAAAGTGAAAATGGTCATTGCTAATGTTAGGGAAAAAAATAACTCAGCTCCGAAATTCTTTAAGATAGGCTCTTTGACATCTACAATTTGCTAGGATATTTGGAAATGGATTACCACCACAAACTGTTACATTTTCAGCTTTAAAAAAATCATCAAACAACTGTTAAAAATAGACAGTGTCACACTGCTCTTTCTGGGGTGAAAGTTAAGATAATACAAAGATGGCATAAGAGATAAATGCCATTGATATCTATGCAAATTACAGTATTTTTTAAAAAATGACCAACGTGATGCAGCATGGAACAGGTTATATTAAAATAACTTTACACCTGAACATCCAGTTTTTTCAACATCATTTGTTTGAAGAGACTATATTTTCCCTATTGTGTGCTCTTGACATCCTTGCTGAACACCTGTTGACCATACATTCATAGGTTTATTTATGGGCTTTCTATTCTGTTCTATTGGTCTGCATGTTCATGTCTATGCCAATACCATATGGTGTTAATTACTGAAGTTCATAATATGTTTTTGAAATTTGGAAGTTTGATGCCTTCCAGCTTTTCTCTTCTTTCTTTAGATTACTTTGTCCATTAGAGGTTTATTTGTGGTTCCATATAAATTTAAGGACTGTTGTCTTTCATTTCTGTAAAATATGCCATGGGATTTTTATAGGAATTGCACTGAATCTATGGATAGCTTTGAGTAGTATGATAATTTTAATATTAATTGTTCCAAACCATAAACACAGGTTGCCTTTCTATTTGTATGTATCTTGAAGTCTTTCACCAATGTTTTATAGTCTTCTGTGTAAAAGTTTTTTACCTTCTTGAGTTAGTTCATTTCTAAATATTTTATTATATTCAATGTTATGGTAAATTGGATTGTTTCTTAATTTGCTTTTCAGATAGTTCATTATTAGTATGTAAAAACACAACTAATATTTTCATGTTGATTTTGTATCTTGCAACTTTATTGAATTTGTTTATCAATTCTACAGTTTCTGTTTGTATGTGAGAATTATTTAGGATTTTTTAATATAAGATTATGTCATCTGCAAACTGAGATAATTTTACTTCTTCCTTTCTGATTTGGAATCTTTATATTTCTTTTTCTTTGCCGAATTTCTCCAACTAGGACTTCTAGTAGTATGTTGGATAGAAGTAGTAAAATAGGAGTCATTGCCTTATTCCTTATATTAGAAGAAAAGTTTTCAGGTTTTCACCATTGAGTATAAAGGCCACTTATGAAAAATCCAGCATATTTTCATGATAAAAACTCTTAATAAACAAGAATAGAAAAAAGAATAAAAACTCTCAATAAGCAAGAATTTCCCACAGGTAAATTCCTTCTATTCTTATTTATTGAGAGTTTTTATCATTAAACTATGTTGGATTTTGTCAAATGCTTTTTCTGCATCTATTGAGAAGATCATGTGATTTTTATCCTTCACTTTGCTAAGGTAGTATATCACATTAATTGATTTACATATGTTGAACCATGCTGAGGGATAAATCTCACTTGATTATAGTGTATTATCCACTCTGCAGCAAATGGTGCTGGAAAAACTGGATACCACATGCAAAAGAATGAAATTGTACCCTTACTTTACATGGTACACACAACACACACACATACAAAGTGAAAATAGATGAAAGATTTAAAAGACCTGAAAGTATAAACTCCTAGAATAAAACATAGGGGAAAAGCCTCATGACATTTGTTTTGGTAGTGATTTATTGAATATGACATCAAAGGCACAAGCAACAAAAGCGAAAATAGACAAATGGGATTACATAAACCAAAAAAACTACTCCACGGCAAATAAAATAATCAACCAAGAAAAGTGATAATCTAAGAATTCAGAGAATAGATTGGAAATCATACATCTGGTAAGGGGTTAATAACCAAAATATATAAGGAACTCAAACACTTCAATAGCAAATAAACAAATAACCTGGTTAAAAAATGGGAAAAAACATAAATAGGAATCTCCAAAGAGGACATACGCATGGACAACAGTATATAGAAAAACATTCCAAATCACGAATCGTCAAGGAAATGCAAATCAAAACTACAATGAGGTATCACCTTATTATACCTGTTAGAATAGCTATTATCAAAAAGACAAAAGATATGTGCTAACAACAATGTGACGAAATTAGAACGCTATTACACTATTGGTGGAAATGTAAAAGTGTTTCAGCCATTATGAAAAATAGCCTGGTGGTTCCTCCAATAGTTAAAAATAGAAGTAGCATGTGATTCAGCAATTCTACTTCTGAGTATATATCCAAAGGAAATGAAATCACTATCTCAAAGAAATATTGGTGCTCCTGTGTTCTTTGCACACTGTTTACAATAGTCAAGATATGGTTATAAACTAAATGCTCATTGACAAATGAATGGGTAAAGAAAATGTGGTATAACATACAATAAAATATTATTCAGCTTTAAAAACGAAGGAAATCCTGCCATGCACAACAAGAAGGATGAACCTGGAAGACGTTATGCTAAGTGGAATAAGCCAGTTACAGAATAACAAACCTACAGGATTCCACTTCCATGAGGTATCTAAAATAGTCAAACTCACAGAAACAGGAAGTTAGAATGATGGTTACCAGGGTCTGGGCACAAGGGGAAATGAGGAGTGAGGAGCTGATGTTCAATGGGTGTAAACTTTCAGTTATCCAAGGTGAATAAGTTCTAGAGATATGTTGTGCAACATTGTGCCTTTAGTTAACAATATTGTATTCAGTGCTTAAACATTTGTTAAGAGGGTAGATCTTGGCTGGGTGTGAAAACTCACTCATATAATCTCATCACTTTGGGAGACCGAGGCGGGAAGATTGCTTGAGCCCAGGAGTTCGAGCCTAGCCGGGGCACCATGGTGAAAAACTGTCTCAACAAAAAATAAAAATAAATAAAATAAATAAATTATCTGGGCATGGTGCTGTGTGCCTATGGTCTCAGCTACTTAGTAGGTTGTGGGAGGAGAATTGCTTGAGCCTTGGAGGCCGAGGCTGCAGTGAGACCTGTGCGCACACCAGCCTGGGCGACACAGCCTGACCCTGTTTAAAAAAAAAAAAAAAAAGGAAGGGGATAGATCTCAAGTCGTGATTTTACCACAATAGGAACAAAGTCAAAGTAAAAAACAAACAGAACAAATTAAACTAAATAACTCTACCACAATATTTAATTTTATTGCTCATGATCATCACAAACCTGGCTTTCATGGGGAGAATTGGGTCCGATACTGAGAATGCTGTTAGTGGACAGCCTTCATTTTCTCAGTAGCAGGTAGAGCCACCTTGCCCAAGGTAAAGCTCTTTCAGGATGGACCAAGTCTGATGCGTGATAAAGGTTGGGTATAAGGGCACAGCCACATGGGGCAAGATGGGAGAACTCCTACAGGTTATTTCTGCCTTAGCACTTCCCACAGCATTTGGGCATTTATCACAACTCAGTTTCTCTCTTTGTCCCATCTTGCTTTCTTAACCTCCCTTCCTAAGTTATTCATCCTAAAAGCCCTCCCTAGTAAACATTCTGAGTACTAAATTCTCAGAATCTGCTTCCTGGGAACTCACACAGTCAAGCATGTTGTTCTTCTCCCAGTGAGGTCTAATCAGGAGGTTTAATCCTGCTGTCAGGCTGATTTATCAACCACTACTAATGTGTCAGGCAATTTGAATAAAATCATCTGATATATTTTAGTCACATTAATTCTCAAGAAAAAAGTAGAAGAAAACCAATGTATTTTCATGTTGAAACAATAAAATTTTGTACTCGATACCTGTGCTAATAGTATTTAGCATACTTGGTCAATATTCAGATTAATAAAGATACAACTCAGAAAAGTTATAGAATACATTATTTTGTGTAATCTATTGAAAATATTCAATTTTCTTAGTTGCCTTTCTAAAATAGGTATGACTTAAAGAAAAGTAAAAGGAACATTTATCTGTCTAGGTGTATACACACACAAATACATTTATACATATGTGAATTATTGGAAAATTCCATTGTGGGGGAAATTAGGTAGTTGAAGAGATGATAAACCATTCTTAAGAAATGAAAATAATTTTCTTGCCTGAAGTATAATTTTAATGAATATTATTTTTATTTTTAAGTATAGTTTATCATCTCTTCAACTACCTAATTTCCCTCCCCAAAACGTGGAATTTTCCAGTAATTCACATATGTATAAATGTATTTGTCTGTGTGTACAATAGACAGATAGATAAATGTTCCTTTTACTTTTCTTTAACTAAGTCATACCTATTTTAGAAAGGCAACTAAGAAATGTATTCTATAACTTTTTTGAGTTATATGTTTAGTAGTCTGACTATTAACAGTGTAATAAAATTTGAATATTTAGAATACATGTTTTCTTATATATTCTCCAACTTTCTTGGCCTGTTCCTTTCATAGTTTAGTCAATGCAAATTAGTATTTAGTCATTAATATTAATTACTACTACTATTCCTGATGTCCCAATCCCACACTATATCAATGAAGACATGAGACTTTCAACCTCAAAAACAAGCAAACATACAAATAAAATCAATATTTGAATACTGACATCTATATGTGGGGAGGCTCTCATTATGCTCCAACAGAATATTTTTTAAAATTCATTGTTTTAATTAATTATAAAATTATATATATTTATTATGTATAGCATGATGTATTGAAAAATATAAACAATGTGGAATGCTAAATTGAATTAATTAACATGTGCATTACCTAACATACTTACAATTTTTTGTAAAGAGAACACTTAAAATCTACTCTCTCAGAGATTTTCAAGAATACATTTTATTAACTATAGTCACTATGTTGTACAATAGATTTCTTGATTAATTGAAATTTTGTATCATTTGAACGACATCTCCTAAACCCACTCCACTCTGCAGCCCTTGGTAACTATCATCTACTCTGTTTCAATGAGATCAGCTCTTTAGATTCCACATGTAAGTGAGATCATTCAGCCTTTCTTTGCCAGTCATATTCTAACTAACATGGTGTCCTCCAAGTTTATCGATATTATTACAAATGAATAGAATTTTCTTCTATTTTAAGGCTGAATAGTATATATACCACACTTTTTATCCATGCATCCACTGATGGACACTTAGGTTGATTCCATATCTTGGCTATTATGAATAATGCTGCAAAGAACATGGCAGTACAGATATCTCTTGCATATCCTGATTTCATTTCCTTTGGATATATGTTCAGAAGTAGAATTGTTGGATTATACGGTAGTTCAATTGTTAATTTTTGAGAAATTTCCATATTATTTTCCTCAATGGCTGTACTAATTTACATTCCCATCAACAGTATTCAAGGTTTCTCTTTTCTCCATACCCTTGTCAATATTTATCCTTCATATTTTGATGAAATCTATTTTAACAGGTCTGAGTTGATATCTCATTGTGGTTTTAATTTCATTCCTCTAATTATTAGTGATATGGAGCAGTTTTTCATATACCTGTTGGCCATTCAAATGTCTTATTTTGAGAAATATTTATTCAGGTCTTTAGCCCATTTTTAAATAGGGTTATTTGTTTTATTGTTATTGAGTTGAGTTCCTTATATGTTTTGGATATTAACCTTTAATCAGATATACGATTTGCAAATATTTTTTCCATTCTGTAGATTGTCTTTTCACTCTTTTGATTTGTTTCCTTTACTAGAAGAAGCTTTTTAGTTTGATGTAGCCCTACTGGTTTATTTTTACTTTTGTGACTTGTACTTTTGAGGTCATATCCAAAAATTCATTGTCCAGACCAATGTCATGAAGCTTATATCCTATGTTTTCTTCTAGTAGTTTTACAGTTTCAGGTCTTACGTTGAAATCTCTAATCAATTTTGAGGTAATGTTTATATTTAGTATAGATTAGAGTCTAATTTCATTATTCTGCATGTGAACATACAGTTGTTACAACCTAAATTATTGAAAGACTCTCCTTTTCTAATGTGTTCCTGGAACCTTTGTCAAAATGTCATTTGACAATAAATGCTTGGATTTCTTTCTAGGCTATTGTGTTCTGTTGGCTTATGTGTCTGTTTTTGTGCCAGTACCATGTTGTTTTCATTACTACAGCTTTGTAGTATATTTTGAAGTCAAGTAGTGTCACGCCTCCAGCTTCTGGTTTTATTGCTCGAGATTGCTTTTGCTATTTGGAATCTTTTGTGGTTTCATGCAGATTTTAAGATTGTCTTTTCCATTTCTCTGAAAACTGTCATTGGAATTTTAATAGGGATTACATTAAATCTGTAGTTTGCTTTGGGTAATACGAACATTTTAACAATATAAATTTTCTAATCTTTGAATATGGGATGCCTTTTTTGATACGTATGCTTTTTTAACTTTTAGGTTCAGGAGTACATGTGTAGGTTTATTATGTAGGTAAATTTGTGTCATGGGGGTTTGTTGTGCAGATTATTTCATCACCCAGTTTCTAAGCCAGGTACACATTGGTTATTTTTTCCTGATCCTCCCCCTCCTCCCACCCTGCACCCCCTTGTAGGCCCCAGTGTCTTTTGTTCCTCTCTGTGTGTCCATGTGTTCTCATAATTTAGCTCCAGGTTATAAGTGAAAACATGGGGTATTTGGTTTTCTGTTCCACATTAGTTTGCTAAAGATAAAGGCCTCTAGTAAGTTCTAGGGTACATGTGCACAACGTGTAGGTTTGTTACATAGGTATACACATGCTATGTTGGTTTGCTGCACCCATAAACTCTTCATTCATGTTAGGTATTTCTCCTAATACTATCCCTCCCCCAGGCCCCCACCCCATGACAGGCCCTGGTGTGTGATGTTCCCTGCCCTGTGTCCATGTATTCTCATTGTTCAACTCACACCTATGAGTGAGAACATGCAGTGTTTGGTTTTCTGTCTTTGTGATAGTTTGCCAAGAATGATGGTTTCCAGCTTCATACATGTCCATTCAAAGGACATGAACTCATCCTTTTTTATGGCTGCATACTATTCCATGGTGTATATGTACCACATTTTCTTAATCCAGTCTATCATTGATGGACATTTGGGTTGGTTCCAAGTCTTTGCTATTGTGAATAGTGCCACAATAAACATACGTGTGCATGTGTCTTTATAGTAGCATGATTTATAATCCTTTGGGTATATACCCAGTAATGGGATGGCTGGGTCAAATGGTATTTCTAGTTCTAGATCCTTGAGGAACGCCACTTCCACAACAGTTGAACTAATTTACACTCCAACCCACAGTGTAAAAACGTTCTTATTTCTCCATATTCTCTCCAGCATCTGTTGTTTCCTGTCTTTTTAATAATCGCCATTCTAACTGGCATGAGACGATATCTCATTGTGGTTTTGATTTGCATTTCTCTGATGACCAGTGATGATGAACATTTTTTCATGTGTCTGTTGGCTGCATAAATGTCTTCTTTTGAGAAGTGTCTCTTTATGATAGAACAATTTATCTTTGGGTATATACCCAGTAACGGGATTGCTGGGTCAACTAATATATCTGTTTTTATGTCTTTGAGGAATCACCACACTGTTTTCCACAATGGTTGAAGTAATTTACATTTCCGCCAGAAGTGTATAAGTGTTCCCTTTTTCCACAACCTTGCCAGCATCTGTTATTTTTTGACTTTTTAATAATCACCATTCTGACTGGTGTGAGATGGTATCTCATTGCGGTTTTGATTTGCATTTGTCTAATGATCAGTGATGCTGAGCTTTTTCATACATTTATTGGCTGCAGAACAGGGGATAGCTTTCCATTTATTTATGTCTTCTTCAAATTCTTTCATCACTTTTATAATTTTTAGTCTGTAGTGTACTGACTTTTCACTCCTTGGCTAAATTTATTCCTAAGGGTTTTACTTTTGCAGCTATTATAAAAGGAATTGTTTTCTTTATTTCTTTCTTTCTTTTTTTTTTTTTGATATTTCTTGTTAGTTTATAGAAATGCTGTTTTTTGTGAATTGATTTTGGGTCAGGCAAGATTACTTATTTATTACTTCTAATAGTTTTTAGGTAAAGTTTTTATAGAATTTTCTATATGCAAGTTTATTTCACCTGCAAACAGAAAAAAAATCATTTATTCCTCTTTTACTTGGTTACATTTTTTTTTTTTTTGAGATGGAGTTTCACTCTTGTTGCCCAGGCTCGGGTGCAATGCTGTGATCTTGGCTCACTGCAACCTCTGCCTCCCGAGTTCAAGTGATTCTCCTGCCTCAGACTCCTGAGTAGTTGGGATTACAGGTGTAATACATGCCCAGCGAATTTTGTATTTCTTTTTTCTTTTTTTTTAGTAGAGATGGGGTTTCTCCATGTAGGTCAGTCTGGTCTGGAAAATTTTATTTCTTTTTCATACCCAATTGCTCTGGCTAGGACTTCCAGTAGTATGGTGAATTCAAGTGGCAAGAGTGGGCATCCTCATGTTGGTCCTGTTCTTAAAGCAAAAGCTTTCAACTTTTCTCAGTTGAGTATAATCTTAGATGTGGGTGGTCATATATAACCTTCACTGTGTTGAGGTTCATTCCTTCTATACCTAATTTATTGGCAGTTTTTATTTAAAAGGATGTTGAATTATGTCAAATTCTTTTTCTTCATGTATTAAGATTATCATATGGTCTTTGCCCTTTATCCTGTTAGTCTATCATAGTTATATTTCCACATGCTGAAGCATCCTTACATCTCTAATATGAATCCAACTTCATCATGATTAATGATTTTTTTAATGTGCTGTTGAATTAGGTTTGGTAGTATTTTATTGAGGATTTATGTATCTATGTTGATCAGGGATATTATTGCTCTGTAAATTTCTTTATTGTAGTGTCCTTGTCTGGCTTTGATGTCAGGGTAATGCTGACCTCATAAAATGAGTTTGGAAATATGCCCTTTTTGGAAAAATTTGAGGATTCATACTAGCTCTTTTTAATATGTTTGGTAGAATTGAGCAGTAAAAAGTGATTAAATCCTGAGCCTTTCTTGGATGGGAGACTTTTCGTTTCATTATCAAATCTCCTTATTATTAGTCTATTGAGATTTTCAGTTTCTTCATGATTCACACCTGCTAGGTTGTACATGTCTAGGCATTTATCCATTTCTTCTAATTTATCCAGTTTTTTGGCATATCATTGTTCTTAATAATCTCTTATGAACCTTTGGATTTTGGTGGGATCAGTTGTAATGTCTATTTGTGTCTTTTCTCTTTTTTTCCCCCTATTTTGTCCAGCTGAAGTTTTATTTTTCTTCCTTTGTTTTTTTTTTTTTTTTTTTTTTGTCAATAAACCAACATCTAATTTTGTGGATATTTTCTGTTGTTTTTCCTAGTCTCTATTCATTTCTGTTCTGATCTTGATTAATTTTTAACATCTAACTTTAGGATTATAGTTTGCTGTTTTTTGAATTATAAGATTCGGGTGTTGATTTCATATCCTTGTTTTTTTGCTGTAGGGGTTTATGTTACAAACTTCTGTTTTAGAGCTCCTTTTGCTAGATTGCATAAGTTTTCATAGTTGTGTGTCCATCCTCATTTGTCAGAAGATTTTTTTTTAATTATTTTATTTTATTATTATTATACTTTAAGTTTTAGGGTACATGTGCACAATGTGCAGGTTAGTTACATATGTATACAAGTGCCATGCTGGTGTGCTGCACCCATTAACTCGTCATTTAGCATTAGATATATCTCCTAATGCTATCCCTCCCCCCTCCCCCCACCCTACAACAGTCCCCAAAGTGTGATGTTCCCCTTCCTGTGTCCATGTGTTCTCATTGTTCAATTCCCACCTATGAGTGAGAATATGCGGTGTTTGGTTTTTTGTTCTTGCGATAGTTTACTGAGAATGATAATTTCCAATTTCATCCATGTCCCTACAAAGGACATGAACTCATCATTTTTTATGGCTGCATAGTATTCCATGGTGTATACGTGCCACATTTTCTTAATCCAGTCTATCATTGTTGGACATTTGGGTTGGTTCCAAGTCTTTGCTATTGTGAATAGTGCCGGAGTAAACATACGTGTGCATGTGTCTTTATAGCAGCATGATTTACAGTCCTTTGGGTATATACCCAGTAATGGGATGGCTGGGTCAAATGGTATTTCTAGTTCTAGATCCCTAAGGAATCGCCACTCAGTGTATCTAAGTTCTAATTTTAGTTGTTTATTATTTTTCTGATTTTATTTAATTGCTTCTTTGTATTTTCTTGAATTTCACTGAGCTTTTGTAAACCATTTATTTTGAATTTCTTTTTAAATTGGGGAGCTCATAAATATCCATTTCTTTAAGGTCAGTTACTCGTGTTTTATTTTGTTTCTCTGGTAGTGTTATGTTTCCCGATTGGTCTTAATTTTTGTGGCTTAGTATTGGTGTCTGTTTATTGTAGAAGTTCGGAGTTATTACCATCTCTGCAGATTGACTGTGTCTGCGAAAACCCTTTACCAATCAGCCCATCCAGAGATTCTGAGCAGGCTGTCTGGCATGGTTCATGGGCTGGCTTGTTGCTGGGGTCCTCAGATAGGCAGGTCTGGTGCTTGGTTTAGCAGGTGAGTGGGCCTGTTATCTGGGTCAGCTGGGTTGAGTTTGGAACCTGGACTCACTGGAGTGGATATTTTGATTGGGTTTGTGGAGATATATCTGGAGCAAGAGTATGTGAGGGTAGACCTGGAGCCTTCATCTCCTGGGGCCATCCTAAAGCTTAAATCCACAGCAGTTAACTTGACTCTGGGACTGACCTTGAGCTTGAGTCTATAGAGGTCAGTCAGGTGCTAGAATTATCCTGGTGCTTGGGTCCAGTGGGTCAAGCCTGAAGCTTGAGTTCACAGGCTGACCTGGTGCTGAAGTAGGCCTGGAGCCTGAGTCTGTTCAGGAAGATCTGGGTTCTGGGCCCATGGGGGTTGGCCTGGCTTGGATCCTGGGCCTGTGGGGGTGGCATTGGAGCTTCAGTCTCTCTCTGGTAGTTGGCCTGACACCAGGGTCTACTGGGGCGGGCCTGTAGTCTAGATATGCCAGAGTAGTACTGGACTTTGGATCCTCTGGAGTCTGAGGCCATGAAGACTGGCCTGGAGCCTAGGTGCAGCCTGGTACTGGGACAGACATGGAAAATGGACCCATAAGGGCTACTGTGGAGCCTGGCATCATAGGTGCTATCCTAATGCCTAGAGCCTTGGTTTAGAGAGGCTGGTTGTGCAGTAGTTGGTTCGGAAGCTAGGCCTGCAAAGTCTGGCCTTGGTTCTAGGGTTGTGGAGGTGGACTTGGAACCTGATCCACAGGAGGCAGTCCTAGAGCCTGAGTCCGTGGGAGATATCCTAGTAAAAGTCTACTGGGGCAAACCTGGATCCTGGGTCTTCTAGAGAAAGCCTGTACCCTAGTTCTGTTGGAGCATGGGGTCACAGGGGCTGGCCTAGAGTGTGGAACTGCAAGGACTAGCCTAGCATTGTGCAAGCCTCGAGCCTGTATCTACAGGTGCCAGTCTGGTGCCTGAGGCTAGGGGTGTTTATCTGGCACTGGCATGGGCCTGAGGCCTGGGGCTATATGGGTTGACATATGTCAGAGCTGAGTTGGAACTTGAGGTGAGCCTGGAGCCAAGGATCACAGGGGCTGGCCTGATGCTGGATCAGCCTAGAACATGTATCCAAAGGGGTCAGTCTGGAGGCTGGGTCCTCTGGTGCCATTGGGTTTGGCCTGGTGTTGCTGTGGGCCCAGAGACCAAGTATGCTGAACAAGCCTGGAGTCTGGAGTTGTGGGATCTGGCCTGGCATTGGAACCAACCCAGAGGCTTAGTCAGTAGGTATTGGCCTGAAGTCTGGGGTCATGGGTGCTGCCCAACACTGAGTGTTGGGATCTGAGGCAAAGTCTTGTACTCACTGTTTTCTCCTTCACCCAAGCAGAAGTATCTCTCTCCATGCTGTGCTGCCTGGAGGTGAGAAAGGAGTGATGCAAGTAACGCATGACTGTCCTTTCTATCCTCTTTGATGCATTTTTTTCTTATTTCTGTGCTACACTCAGGTGCTATAATTTCTCTTCTGGTTTCCTTAGCTCTGTGATGGTTTTTTTGTGTGTGTTTCAGATAGTTGTTCAAGTTGATGTTTATGCAGTAGGACAAGGAGTGGAAAACCCTATTCTACCATTTTGCTGATGTTCAGCCCAAAACAGAATCTTAAAAATTATATGCGTCTTTGCTTAAAATAAAGTTTTTTCTATTACACCACCTTGTTTTTTCAATGGGCTTTCTCTGTATTTCTCTTAACCCATTCCATATATCTAGTTCCTTTATTATCCCTTTCTTTTTTCTACATTACTTTTAATTTTTCTCTCATTCCTTCACAGGAAGAAAATAAACTTCTTCTGGATTTCTCCTGCAAGCCAGTTTAATCATTGTATTCTTTAAGAGATTTCTACCAAGACAATGCTCTTCAAATTTCAACTTCTCTCCCAAGTGGCTAAAAAAGTATTTCGGCAAACCAAGATTATCCTGCCCTGAGAGGAATTCTGGTAGCAGGTGTTATAACATCATCTGAGTTCTTTGATAAATTAATCAAAACCATAACAAGTAATAATCGTAAGCAGTCATTTTAAAATGAATTTACCTCTTTTTAGGGACAGATGTTATCATCTCTTCTTCCGGACTATAACTGTTAGTGTCTTGTTTCCATAGCACTACTGATTAGTACTCCTCATTTTTGACAAATGGAAAATCTAACAAAAATAATTAGAACATATAACGTTTTGGTATGTTTAGTTTTGATAACACTTTTCTCAGTGACAAGTAATCCCATTGTCTTATGGTATTCATCTTCCCCCATTTATTGCCAAGGTTTCAGTCATGATGTGTGATGGTTTAGCTCCACACAGACTATTTGCATCACTGTCCATATGGAGCATCTATGTGTTTTTGATAATCAACTACTGTAATTCCCACAATGTTACATGAGACATAGATGAAAATGCATGAGTGAACAAAAATGTCAAGATCATCTTAACATCATAATCAAAGTCAACCTCTCAATATTTCTGTAAACTCTTTATGTCAGGCTTCTTATCCTTTCCTTTCTCAGTCACACTTCTAACAAGATGAATGGCAAAATATGGGAATCTCAAGATTTTTGATTCAAACAATCGTTTAAATTGTATATCTGTAATTTATATGTCAATTTAATGTATTTGTCTCCTCCTCTCTATTGTTGTCGCTAATAAATGAGAGTTGCCAATAAAAAAGAGAATTAGAGTTTAGAGATACAAAGTGATTAGAGACAGGCACTGATTACCTATCAAAAGGCAGGTCTTTAGGGAAATACATAAGACAAGGGAGAAAGATGGCTTTGGGGACTGAACATTACTAAAGTGGACTAAAAATTAAATGACAATGATTAGTGAAAGAAAATATTTTTTCTAACTCCCAGGGAAACAAAGATTTCTTTGGAAAATTTGAGTCGCAGGTGAGAACAGGGAAAATATTCATTAATTCATTTGTCACATATTTGGTGTGCTCTGGTTATGTGCTAGGCAGTGTAATAAGCACTGAGAATACTATGGTGAGCAATATAGGCATGGAGCTTCATGGAACTTATCATCTAGAAACAGGCAGCAATTACTATATGTCTACACTAGATCTCTAAAACAAATTGTCCCATCAATTACTTGGTGGAAAGAGTATCGCATCATAGTATGAGTAGTAGAAAAAGGCAATATTTTCTGTAATTAATGACATAAGGAACACTGTGGGAAAAAATGAACTTGCACATGTGTCACATCCATAATATTGGAAGGGGCTTTAAATTTGCCTGTAATAATTTATTCATTTTATAAATAAGATTTGTTAAAAATGATTTAAAGGATTAAGAAAAGTCTGTAAAATATTACTTTTATCTGTAAATAAACTGTCAAATTGATGACCATGTATATTTATATTTAGTTGAATGGATTCCTCAACCATGTTTTAGCACAACAATACTGATAAACATTGGTGGAGGTTAATGGGGGTAATTGCCCACTTCAGCTATGGCTGCTGACAGATAAGTCCCTAGTAAAGAAATAATTGCAGTCAAGAGCATAATCGCCCTGTCCCAGGGACCTCTAAAGTATTAATCAAAAAAAATTTTAAGTAATTTTTAATAATTATCTTTACTGTCTGGAAAGTAGTGATCATCATCTATTTGAAGAGATATTTTACTTTTAATCTCGAAACATGTAACACTATGTGTGCCAGGCTCACTTTCTTTTATTTTACAAATAGTAGCCCCTTTATTTCACACAAAATTTCCTGTTATCTTAGTCCATTCAGGCTGTTATAACAAAATATCACAGACTGGGTAACTATTAAGTGACAGAAATGTGTTTCTCACAGTTGTGGAGGCTGGAATCCAAGATTAAGGCACTGACAGACTCCGTGTCAGGGGAGGGCCGATTTTCTGGCTTATAGGCTATAATTTTCTCACTGTAACCTCACATCATACAAGTGACAAGGGAGCTCTGGGGTTCTTTTCATAAAAGCACTAATTACCTTCAAAGGTCCTACCTTCTGACACCGTCACCTTGAGGTTTAGAATTTCAGCATATGAAATTTGGGGGGACACAAACATTCAGTGTATAGCTCCCAGCGTTTGTCTTTTATGTTCTTAAAAATTGATTAGACATACTACTATACCAGGCATGAAGGAAATTGAAAATCTTTATTTAGGGATATGAACCAACCTAGCCATTACTTTTTCTGTGGCAAGTCTGGCTTGGGATAAATAATTGGTTTTATTTGCTAATGAGGAGCTATTCAATATTTTTCCACATTAATTTTATGATTAAACTGATTTGAGATAATATAATGTCAATACTAAATAAGACAAAATGAAATGAAGAGTGGAATTATAAGAAGATTCAGAATTCAGGTTCCAAATTTCCCTTTCTCCTCCTCATGTAGTCAGGAATAGAGTCTGAAGAAAATTTTATACTTAATCATATTTACTATTTAATAATCCTTAAATAATAAAGACAATCTATGGTATTTAACAGGTCTGAATCTGTATAAAAAGGAAATTAATTTATTGATAAATTGCTCTAAAAGATAACATACACATTTTCTAAGAAAAGTGTACACACATAAACTTTCTTAAGTTTTAAAAGTAAAAGTTTTAAAGTATACAATTTATATATTTTGTAAAGTAATCCTTGGATAACCAGTATTTTATATACATGCTTGATAAAACATAAAGATTAAGCTGTAAAGAAGATAGGGAATTCAAGAAACATTGAAAGCAGCTTATATTAAGTAACCATTTAAAAAGCAATAAAGCATGAGTCACTAACATCCAAACTATCTTGAATGAATATCTGTAGCCAAAGAAATTTGACTGGGGTCCCAGATATGATCTTATTGTTTGTACACAAATACTTAAAGCATAATTTACTTGAGCATTTTCTCATATTAAGAAAACAAATAAGTTGCCTCCAAGGCTATGAACATTTCTGAGACATAATATAAACGTTTTCAATTTTATATAACCATTTAAAATACCTAGACTTATTTTGAAATTAAAGTATTGGAACAAGTTCAGCAAATAGTCTTTCTATATATCTTCTTTCATATTGAAAAAAACTACATTATGATTAAAAATATACAGTCACACAAAAGTTGGAAATTGTAATGACTCTGAAAAAAATATGATTTTAGTTTTTTAACTATTCTATATTTATTTGGGCTGGCTTTAACACTGTGTGTGGTGTTCATGAGTTTATTTCCAATTCTAGACCATGTTCCTTATGTACTCATGTAGTAACATGAGTACATATTGTTTTCTTGGCTAAGAGTATTCTGCTTGCTTTCTAGGTACCTAGAAAGAAGATGGAATGAAAGCAATTCAATTATTTTCATATCTGGTTACTTAGCACTATGTAAATCTCCTTGGGCCTATTGTATTCCAGAAAAGCAGAAATTCCATTACAAGCAATGCCAATGTGTTTTTGTAATAGCTACCCAGGTGAAGAAAGGGAACTCATGCATATCTTGGGAGCCTAGGTTTTTTCAGATACCATTAAAAATCCTTTAGCACAGTAGTATTCACAATAATGATCAAATTTGAAATATTTTATTACAATAATGTGTTAAATAAGACTCAAAGAGTCTGAGTACTTCTCCTGAGGTTACATGACAAAAAAGCTATATATGAAAAAATAACATACCTCAGTATAATTCCCAAATTTAGATCCTTTCTGCTGTACTGTGCTGTTTGGCCCCACATCAATTACCAGTTCTCCTTCTAAGAAGAAAAAGGTAATACATGCTTATAGTCTGAATTTAGCTACAAATGATTAAACTAGAATTCTGTGGAGCTAACATTAATTTGTGAGATTTTGCTTATTCTAGAATTGAGCATGTAAAAGTCTGAACAATAAGACATGATTGTAGACACGGAGACAAAATTAGATGCGAAGGAAATTGCTTTGTTGGTTATTATATAGCTGGAGTGCAACTTTGAGATTCAGCTTGATGATCTTTTGTATCATAGTTCCTTGGTATAATACAGAGAGATAAGAGAGACAAAGCTCAAAATAGAACCAAATAGATCCCTTAAAAATAGGGAACATATAATTGGACATGGAAAATGACAGTAAATTATTATTGAACATATTTCATGAGAAATATGCTGGAAACACAACAAAATTCAATAACATATTTGCTGAAGGAGGACATATACTTAAAATATAAATGGCTATACAAGATTAATATTATGTTAAAAATAACATTGATATAGAACTTACTATATTTATATACTATATAAGTACTATGTTTTCATTAAAATCCTTTGTCTTATTTTCATTTTACCAATGAAAAAACCAAAGCCTAGAAAGTTCTCATAAAATATAAAATTATCTATGCAAGGCCTAATTAAATGGCATAATCAAAAGGAGTATAATATTTTAGGATTGCATGGCTTGGAATTTGAAATGCAGGATTTAGAGAAACAGCAAAGAGCTGTTTGGCCTAGAGAGAAAGCATGTGAGTTTCTTTGTGATTTCTTAGCAACAAGAATGTATGAAGATCATTTAGTGAGGAATAAAGAACCTGCATCTGAAGAGACAGTAGTGTGCCTGGTGTGACAGATGTAGACAATGGTTTTGATCATGTTGTTTTGAATTCATGAAAGAGATGAAAATTGGAGGACGAAAAAATTCCACAAAATGTTGTTTTCATCTTCAAATTTATCTCCTTTTACTGGTTATTACTTAAAATGATTCTTTTTATATTTTGCACTTATACTTTTCTAAAAAAGTTTTTTTATTGAGATGGAGTTTCACTCTTGTTGCCCAGGCTGGAGCTTACTGCAACCTCTGTCTCCCAGGTTCAAGCGATTCTCCTGCCTTAGCCTCCAAACAGCTAGGATTACAGGCATGTGCCACCACACCCAGCTAATTTTGTGTTTTTAGCAGAGATGGGGTTTCACCATATTGATCAGGCTGGTCTCGAACTCTTGATCTCAGGTGATCCACCCACCTTGGCCTCCCAAAGTTCTGGGATTATCCGCATGAGCCATCGCACCCAGCCTAAAAGTTCTTATCTGGATTTTTTCATCTGTCTTACCCTGTCACTGAACTTTGTATCATTTGATTCTTCCTACCAAATATATTTTGAATTTTTATCCCTTTCAAAACCCTCTTTCTCATAGGTTCATAAACTCTAATTCAACCTTTAAATGTTCTCATTACAGAGAAACTGATTAAAAGTACATGTAATAAGGAGAAAAGGGATAAAGAAAAGTAAATGCTCACTTTGTTTCTTTTTTTTTTAAAGTTCCCTGACTGTAATTCTTTCTGCAGTCAGTTATAATTGACAATGGATTCATTGTAAGATTAACTAAGCAAAGCAAAGAACATTAATTATAAATATCTTCCATTACTTCTTCATTTATGCTGCTGTACATAAGGACATATTTGTATGCCAGATTAAATGTGACTGTAGAGTACAGGAAAGCATTCTTTAGCAAACACTTATAAGCCTCTTTGGCCTGTGTGGTCAGGAACTGTACAGTAATAGGAGAAAAGCCACATATAAACTAAATCCTAAACCATGATCAATTTTACACATCAGGAGAATGGGAGAAACTAGGAAAAACTCAAAGTAATTACTGATTTTTTTAGTTGATATTTTTACCTTGTTACACCCAAGCCTGGAATATGTGGTATACTTGAATTCTGCTGTGTTTATTTTCTATTCCCATCTTTATGTATATATATATATGTTACAGAAAAGAAAGACAAAGGCTTTTTATAATTAAAAAATTAGTTAACTACAGTTTTATTTTTATTTCTATATAAATTTGATTCAAAGAACATCATTTGTACTGAATGTGGTTTTAGCTCTTGACAATTAGTTTTCTATTTCCTTTCTGAATGAATATGCCTATTTCTATATATAGTCATCCCTCAGTATTTATGGGAGGATTAGTTTCAGGACTTCCAATGGAGACCCAAATTCATGGATGCTCAAGTCTCTCATTTAAAGTGGTGTATTATTTCCATGTAAACAACACATATCATTACACAGACTTTAAATCATCCCTAAATTACTCATAATATCTAACACAATGCATACACATCTCTTCATTTGTGTGGATACATTGTAGTACTCAGTTCACAGAAAATTCAAGTTTTGCTTCTGAAACTTTGTGAATACTTTTTTCTGAATATTTTCAATCTGCAGTTGATTGAATACACAGATGCTGATCCCATAAATAGAGAGAGCCAACTGTATTTACTTCAAATGAAATTCTCATTTGAAAGAGACCGAATATTTAAAATATGACAAAAGTATAGATGGTAGTTACTTTCGACAATTTAGTATAAATTATAAAACTTTAAAAGCTTAATTGAAGTACAGTTGGTTTAATTTTCCCCACCTTACTCCAGAATTGGGTATAAGTCTACTTTTTAGTTACTTTTGATACAAGTAAAACAATATGTCGTAAGATGGCTTTTGATCCTTCAGACATAGACATTTCAGTAGAATACACAATGGCAACACTTAAATTGTTTCATCTTAGGAAGCCATTTGCCATGTGTTTGATTACCTATTACTAGGGGAAAAAAACACCTCATGTGAGTACCTTAAACACCTCATGTGAGTACTTCTTTTGCTGTCAATTCTGTGGCTTGCCTGGGCTGTGGGCATTTCTCATGTGGGGTCTCTCACCGGATTGTAGTCAGATAAAGTCTGAGGCGGGAGTCATTTCTAAGTATTCTTCACTGACATATCTGACACTTAAAATGTAGGTCTCTCTCTCACCATGTAGTCACACTTTTTACATGAAGGCTGAAGGCAGTCAGAACAAATGTTCCAAGAGAAATTGATTGAAGCTGCATGGCTTTTAAAAAATCCGTCCTTGGAAGTCACACAGTATCACTTCCATCACATCCTATTCCTTGAAGCAGTCATAAAGACCAGCCCTAGTTCAAGGGGAGGAAACCTTGATTCTACCTGAATTTGAAAACATATTTAAAAACCACCACACCATGTATGCAAATTGTTATCTAATTTTTATTCTTCTGTTTGTACAGAAAATGTCAATTTTTATTTAATAATGACTAATTTTTGAGTTATGAAAATAAATAACTCAGTATATTTTATCAATTGCGATTGTCCCAAGATGACTGAAAATATTTTTTACTCCTTAGGTCAAGATTTCCATAAAACAATAGGAAAAAGACTTAAATTCAATTAAATGTGACCTTTAGCTAGCTGATGTAATCAGTAAACAGGATCATTGATTTCCAATATTTGTTCAAGAAATATTTGTCCAGCATCTAATATATGCTCATTGATTACATAGTTATACTATCAAGAAAGATAAGAAAAGTAAAAGCATACCTTAAAAAAACAGTGCTTTTTTTCCCCCTGGGAATACAATTAAAACTACATGAATGTTAGCAGAAGGTTAAATTTTAAGAGACCAATTATTATTAAACTAAAAAACTAAGGAATTATAGGAACACATTAATTAAATATATTTGAATTTTAAGGAAAAGACATGCACACTGAGTAAAAAGTATGTGAAATACACAAAAAGAGTCTTCTACAAAGTGAAAACACTAATAAGCATATTGGCTGAATATTTAACCTTACTAATAATCAAATAATTTCAAAAACTAAGTATTATTTTTCTTTAAAATCAGCAAGGATTAATCATGCTTCCTTCCCACTATTGACAAATATATAAGAAATAGTAAATGGAAAATAGTCACTGGTTGGTGGAAGTGTAAATAGACACAAACTTCCTGGGGGGCAATGGAGAAATATAAAATGTAGAACCATCTTTAACATATGAAGGTTAGATAGGGCGCAGTGGCTCACGCCTGTAATTCTGGCACTTTGGGAGGCCCAAGCAGGAGGATCACTTGCACCCAGGAGTTTGAGACCAAACTGAGTCACACGGTGAAACCCTGTCTCTACAAAATAGTACAAAAATTAGCCTAGTGTGGTGGTGCATACCTGTAATCCCAGCTACTTGGGAGTCTGCGGCAGAGGTTGCCGTGAGCTGAGATTGTGCCACTGCACTCCAACCTAGGTGACAGAGTTAGACCCTGCCTCAAAAGAAAAAAAAGAAAAAGACTTTCTGAAAATTACTGAGGATATGTGCTAAAACACATATGTAAATAAAATAATTTTTCATACAGGAAATGATCATATATGTGGCAATAAATACAAACATGGTTAGTAAAACAGGAGCTCAGATAAGAGAAGTGGAGAGACCTAATCCAGATTGATTTCAAATAAGAACTCTGAGTTGATTTTGATAATGAAGAATGGACATAATGTGAATAGGATAAGGAGATAAGAGAAATAAAGGTAAGAGTAGTAAGTTCAACACAATATCTTTTGTGCCCTTGACTGACTCTTATACTCCTGATCCACATCAATCTTTCTTTTTTCTGAATTGCTAGTGTATTTATATTAAGCACCAAATTCCTGAGCACTTAAAGTGCTTTCTCATTACTTTTTGTTTCTTTTCTTCCCCATTAAATGATAAGCTCTCTAAAGACAGAAACAGTGTCTTCTTTAGTATCCTCCATTGCATAGTGCTGAGTAAAGGGGACCTGTTTAATACACATCACTTAAGAGTCTGTTGGTTGAGCAAGAACCAAAGGAGGTACAATACATAAATTATTCAATTCTGTATATAGGCGGAGCAACTGCACAAAGATTTTGTTCCATTGACTACAAAATTGGCTACATTTTAAGTTTTTCTTTTAATATAGTGAAAAGTGTAAATGAAATCACAGTTCATAAGAAAAGTAGTCAATAAACATAAATATTACTTGGTATTTTATAGCCTAAAACTGTATATTTTCTAATTTTCAGTATTGGAATTGGTTAGAAGCATCCAGATATTTTTATATATATATATATATATATATATATATATATATATATATATATATATGCACACACACATACATATACACAAACACACATACATATGTAAATATTACAAATGAAAATTATTTTAAACAATATTTTTATCTAAATATTTCTTTTTATAGTCATACATAAGATAGAAATCCTATCATTTCTGCATCCAATTACACATATATTTAGAGAAGCTATCTGATTTATTATGCTATTAATGTTTTTAGAAATATCCCATTTCCAGAAGTGAGTAAATATATTTTTAATTTTATAAATCATCCGTAGTTATTTATGAACAAATGAACTACAATTATAACAATCAGTTGACTCAAGTGGGAGAGACATTTATCCTTGTTATTTACTTTCATATATGTGAAAGTAGCTGCTTTTTACTTTTACTTTATATATAAGTGAATGATACAAAAGAAGATATTCTCTGAAAGAAGGAAAGAACAGTTGCTTTATAATGGGAAACATTTGCATTTTATGGAGGACTGTTAGAGAAAAAAATGTATGCATGACATCAAAGAAAGCAGAGAACAGTGTATGATTATGTACATATTTAATGTACCATCCAAATAGCTACATATCCACATATTTTGAGTATTTAATAATTTGCTTCTCACATCAGATTAGGAAATAGAGTGCCCTTTGTAGAATCAACTCTAATCTCAGAAAAGACTTTTTCCTATCACTTTGTGTAAGGAAAGATGATGAGCTCATTTGAAAGTTAGTAATAAAATGAAATTGTATTTCTGAATGGGAAAGAAGCATATGGCACACATTTGCATCTTTTAAAACTTTTTTGCAATAAAATATAAACATACTGAAATGAGATGTAAGATATATTAGTAGCTTGTTTGGAGGAAAAAGTCATGTCACAATTTCACTGTGTCACCCCATAAATAAACATATCCAGTCATTTTTCATAAAAACATAAAGCAAAATAATCTAAAACATTAAAATCGTCTCACGGAGAATCTTTCTTCAACTTGAAGAAATAAGTTGAAGAAATAAAAATAAATAAATAAGCTTTCTTTTTATACACCAACTGAGAAATAGTTTTCACTAGTGAGTTCAATCAGTGGACTAAAGGAGAACAGAACAAGTAAGGAAGAGTGAATGCTTGAATCAGGTGGAAATAAACCATTTCAAAACTAAAGCTATGTCAAAATATTAAACGATGCCAGGCTCAGTGGCTCACACCTGTAATCTCAGCATTTTGGAAGACTCAGAGAGGCGGATAGCTTGATCCCAGGAGTTCAACACCAGCCTATGGCAGAATCACCTGAGTCCTGAAAGTTGAGGCTGCAGTAAGCCATAATGGTACCACTGCACTCCAGTGCTGGTGATGGGAGTGAGACCCTATCTCAATAAATATAAATAAATAAATAAATAAATAAATAAATAAATAAATAAATAAAAATATTAAATGCTTCTTGATCCTTTCATTTCAACATTACACTCATTTGGCGAGAAGAAAAAAGTATTAGGCTCCTACTCCAGTTATTTGTGAAAGATGAGTCAAAAATACAAGAGTAGAATATCATTTTACCTGAACATGCGACTGAACACCTATCTATCTATCATCTGTCTATCATCTATCTATCTAATCTATATCTATTATCTATCTGTCTGTCTATCTAATTCCTCTCACTTGTGAAAGAAAAAGAATAAATAAATAAAATTCTGTCAATTTAGCCTAGGAATAGATATTCATCAGATAGTAAGAACAACTGAAGGAAGTAGTTGCCAGAAGATTCAGGGAAATGAACCAAAAAAGATATTTGTATTTGACATTTCTGTTACTTACATTGTTAAGGCAAAATAATAGTTGACCAAAATCTAAAATGTATTATGTAAGTAAAATATATATTCTGTCTCCTACCCAATCATTTATTTTACCCAATCTAAGTCACACAAAATAAAAGCAGTTCATAACAGAGATGTGAAGTGCAACCCCTTGCACTGAGGTTGGGTTTTTCATTCCTTTGACTAATAGCATTCAAATTGATGGAAGGTAACCTAAGCCAGTTCTCACTTTGAACTTTAAGATGGCTGGCATAATTATTCCACATTTCTGGAACCCACATTGCTCCCAGTGATACAATGAGCAGGTTCCAACAGCCCATGTGAAGAAGAATCAATGCCCAGCTAACAACCCAAGTTGAGCTCACTGACAACACCTGCTTCCAACTTGCCAACTATGTGAGGGAGACATCTTGAAGAGAGGAGAGAAAATATTTGAAGAAATAATGAAGAAAATGTTCCAACAATATAACATGAAAGACCTTATATTGAAATGTTTTATAATACATCAAATTGAAGATTGACAACCATAAATATGTACTTTAACATATTTTCATGAAATTTAAGATATCAATCTGAAACAATTATAAAAGCTTCCAGGTAAAAGCAAAAATCATCAAAATGGAACCAGAGTCTTGACTGATGTTAGTCTTCAATTGCCACACTGTCAGAAAACAATGAGTGATACTTGCAAAGAACTGAAGAGTGGGGTTATCTGAGAGCCCCTAGCTATTAATTTATTTAGAATAGGTCTCAGCTATCGGGCTTGCTCTCGTTGGAGCTGTCTCTAGCCTATAACAAAGAAAGGCTGTGGCCTAAGGACTTAAATATTTCCATCTGAAGTGGTATTTCTCACATGGCCAGTGTTTATCTACAAGCTCCTCAGTGGACTGACAGAGACCATAGTCATGTCTGTTGCATGGTCTGATGGCTCCCCCTGTGCAATTTTGCTTCTTTCCCTTACACTTTCACACTTGTTACTCTTTAATAAACCTTTTGCACTCCTACCTCCATTTCATTGTCTTCTTCCTGGAGAACACAATCTGAGACACTATTTTATCATTCTATAACCTTTCTTCTTAATATTTATTTTTAATATTTTTTCTAACTTTTACTAATTAATTTTTTCTTATTTCCAATTGTTAATATGTTTTCTTATGTCTTTAAGCATATTTATCACACCTATTTTAAATTATTACTTCATCTGCTTTGAAAAGTATACATTTAGAGTTTCAAAATGTTTTAATGTCTCAGTATATAAACCCACGTATGTCTCATGCTTGTAAGTCCATGTTCCATATTTCAGGGTGATAAAGGCTGAGTATTGGTTACTCTGTCTGATAATGTATATTACAGAAGGATCATAATCTTTAGTCTTTATTAATCTCTTTGAGTTTTAAAAGAAAGAAAGGAATAAGCTCCAGGCCAGAGAGTGTTGGAGGTCAAAGAACTCTAGCTGATTAATTTTGTTTGCTGGCTGACATAGTTTGGATATTCGGTCCCACCTAAATCTCATGTTAAATTTTAATCTTCAATGCTGGAGGTAGGACCTGGTGGGAAATGTTTTGATCACAGGAGTGGATACCCTATGGCTTGGTGCTGTCTTCATGATAGTGAGTTCTTATGAGATATGGTCATTTAAAAGTGTATGGCACCTCCCACCTCACTCTCTCTCTTTTGCTTCTACTTTTGTCATCTGACATGCCTGCTCCCCTTTCACCTTCTTCCATGATCAAAAATCTCTCTGAGGTCTCACCAGGAGCTGTCTCAACCTCTGAGGTCTCACCAGGAGCTGTCTCAACCTCGGATAAAAGCATCCCCTCATTTTCTCTGTTTCTACCATAGGTCTACTGACATCTGTAGAAGAAATCTAATTAATTTTTTAAAAATTCACAAAGACTGGCCTGGTGGGCTCTTGGTGCTACTTTTCAGTGCCTTTGTTTATTTATAATCAGGTTTTTTCCCTCTCTTGATAATAGATATCCAATTTTCTCCACTTTCAAGCATTTCTTACCTAATCCTAACTCCCTGTCAGGGTGTGACATTGCCTCTCACAACACAAAGAAAAAATAATTATTGTCATGAAAGGATTCCTTCAATAATTTTATTTTCCAACTCCAGACACACTTGAATAATAATATCAATAATATAAATGATAATAATAATCATTTTTTTCTGAAAATTTGTTTTGTACTTCACTAATTCTGAATTTTTTAACTCATGCTTCAGATTTCTCACCAATAAAGTGGGGATATAATAATACATTTTCATGTTTTTATGAATTAAATAATGTAGTTCCTTGTATATAGTAGATATTGAATAAGTTTTAGCTGTTTCATTACCAACATCATCATTATCACCACTATGCATACGTTTACTAACCATAAACTTGGGCATCATACCTGATGCCTCCCTTCCTCTCTCAACATGCATTTAATTTATCATCATTTCCTCTTGATTCTAGTTCCTAAATGTATCTCATTGTCCCCAGTTTAATTTTCCAAGTTTACCCTACAATTTTGAACATTATTATTACATTTTTATATGTCTTCTTATCTCCAGAACTTTCACTTTCTAATCTAATATTCGCAAAGAATGAGAAGGATCTTGTGAAAACATAAATTTGATCAAATTACCTTTCTATTTAAGCTTATTCCTGAGTCCCCATAAGAATAGATATAAGACTGGAATATGATTTAAATCTTTCCTGCTTAAAGAATTACAAGTGGACCAGCAGCACTGGCATTACTTGCAAAGCTTGTTAGATATTAGTGCTCCATTCAAGATCTACTGAATAGGAATCTAGGTTTTAACGAGATCCCAGATGATTGCTGTGCACATAAATTTTGAGAAACACTGATTTATAGTCTTTTCACCTAGTGCCTACCTACTACTCCAACATGATCTTTTTCCACTTAATTCTCTGACATACTGTATGATCCCGTCCCAACATATTTTTTAAGTCACCGACAACTCTTTCTTCTAGGCCTTTGAATATACTGTTAGATTTGCCTGAACACTATTATTTACCTTCACACCAATATATCCTTTCCAAGTCAAACTCTGTTTGTTAAGTCTATTTGCTTCTTGCAAGTCTTTCAAGAGTGCTGTCCTGACCTCTACCACCTGTTCTATACACCTCCCTTATTGCCTCCATAACACAACACCCTGTGCTTCTCTCATCATAGTTCTCAACATATTTGCATGGTAATTCTTTTGGACCCAGTACAATAAGATCATAAGATGAATTAATGTACCCTTGCTACATTTTCTCCATGATATCTTCAGTGTATAGCAGCATGACAATACATGACAAATGATGGATTAGTGTTTGTTTAAAAATGATAAATAACAAGAATTTTGAGACACAGTATTTGAATAATTTATGCTAACACACAGCTCACAATTAGAGTATAATAAAGTCTGACCACACTCTCAATGTCTAATTTTTCTCCCTTTTGTCTCAGAATACATGTTTCCCCCCTTGAAATAGTAAATCCTTTAGTTTTTCTTGATTCTTAGTCTTTCAAATTCCTCTAGAATATATTTATCCAATTATCTTGTCTCTCTTATATCTATAATCTTTCCAAATTCAGTTGATTCTTATTCTATGTAAACATACATCTTTCTCCCACTTAAATACAAAATAACAAGAAAAATGACAATTTTTTTAGATCAAGGTGTCTTGAAGATGTTCAATGTAATATTTGTAGATCAATGATGTCAAAATTTGGTCCAGAATATTAAAATATGAATATCCATCTTCAGGTACATTACAGAATATTATATAATATATTTCCCTTATGGAGAATTACAACAGTTTTTTAAATACTATCCAGTAGATGATCTGGGGTCAAAGATGGAAGCAAATGATCAGCTAGGAGACCTTTACTTCTATCCTGGATAAAGATGATTGTGACATTGTTCAGAGTCATAGTGATAGAGCTAGAAAACTGGTCAGATTGAAAACATTTCTTAAGGAAGAGGCACGAGAGCTTTCTGATCAGGCATGCAATATGAGAAGAAAAAAGTCATAGAAGATTCTAAAATTTTTGTTCTAAGCAACTGGAAGAATGGCCATGCTATTATCTATATGGAAAAGGTTTTGAGACGATCGATGTACTTGGCCTCTAAGATGCGAATGGTGGAAACGGAGAAGCTGTTGTTCTCTGGGACACCTACAGGCAGACATATGAATGGACAGAAAATGGTTTTCAGCAGCTTCTGGGAGTGCTCCTGGAGATCACCTTCTATGGTGTTGTAGGCTGCTGAGATGATTGGTGGTGACTAAGCGGTGGTGTAGGCATTTATTGATTTCATAAATTGTAGCAGAATATTCCCTGACCATCATAAACTCTACTCTTCTAGCAGACAGGCAAGTCTTTAATTTCCTTTGTTAACGCCTTTTTACTTTGAATTCTAGAGTAATTTCTGTTTTCCAGACCAAACTAACTGATACTGGCGTGAACACCATCCTCTGAGAAAGTCATATTACAGGTAGATTAACAAGATGAGGGAATGTTGACTGAAGAAGTAAATGATATCAAGTATTTTGCTTATCACGTAGTCTGAGTTCTAGAGATTTGTTGAAAAGGTTTCAGAAGTTGGAAAGGGTTAGGAGATGGAGTTAGATTTTCTTATGGCATTGAGAATCAAGCTTGCCATATAGTCTGAGTTCTAGCGATTTGTTGAAAAGGTTTCAGAAGTTGGAAAGTGTTTGGAGATGGAGTTAGATTGTCTTATGGCATTGAGAATCTAAGTACTAAAGGATAAACCTCGGTCTTGAACTTCTTATGATTAGTATGAACAGAGATAAAGATGTGATTAATTCTGATAATGTTCTATGAAAGTTATTGTAGTATTGGAAAATTTGTGTTAGATAGTACTGGAAAATAGGTGTGAGGTTTATAAGGACCATAAAATATTTGTTTAAAAAAATCAATTCATGGTTGCCACAGGAACCTTTTAAAAAGTTATATTTAACACTGTAAATATTTTATTGTTATTATTATCATTATAATTAAAGTATATGCTAAAAGTTACAGATATCCAAATAGCTATTTAATGATCAAACAAAATTACCCATAAGAATAAGTGTATAGTATTTACAGAGATGAATAAGTAAATTATAAGAATATAACAGAAAATATATAATCTTAGAAAATCCCTTAATATTATACTATATTGATTTGCTCCTAGAGTATTGCCTGAAAAATATGACTCATATATTTGGTGATTTTTCAGGCATTTGAGAAAATGTTGGTGAAAGCAATAGTTTCTCTAGCTTTTTAAGTGATGGGAAGAAAAGAACATAAGCAACAGCAAAACAGAGAAAGTACATTTGACACATTTTCCTATAAAAATATCTTATATATGTTCACCATATTTGCCTCCTCAATCAACCAAGTCATTCACATATTCTTTCATTCATTTAGTAAACTTATATTTGATACTAATGGTCAAAAATATGGTTGATATTACAGAGATTAACAGGAAGAAAGAGCACCATTTAAGCAGATTATGGAATTACAACATTGAATATTCTAACATTGCTGATGGACAAAGTAGTGAAAACACAGAAGAGACTCATTATGTCTGAGGATGCTGGAGGAGGCCTTACAAAAAAAAAAGAGAGCTTTAAAATGCTCCTTGAAGATGGAGGTGAGGTTTTTAGCTCCAGGAAGAGGAAAGAACATGTGTAAAATCTAGATTATCACAAGGTCATTGTTGCTTCAGTCATGAAAAAAGTCCTGAAAAACTGTGGCATGAGGACCAAGAGAACCTAAAATTAAAAGGGCAGCTAAAATGACTTTCTATGTGACGGGGTACCAGTGTGTGTTTTAATATACAGGCAATTAGAAGTCAAGAAAAGTATTTAAATAAATTACATTTGTGTTTTTTAAGAAAGTCTGCCAGCTGTGTGTTCTGGAATAAGTGAGTTAACTGATGGCCATAGGGGTGAGGATTATTTAGAAACACTGCTGTATTCAAGCAGTTCTTAGAACAAGTGAATATTTCCACATGATATTATGTGTTTAAAAAGGGCAACAACAAAAAGCAGTTAGATCTGATTCCACTATTTGTATTATATCTCATATCCACTATTTTTCAAGATACCAGGTTAGCATTATATGCTGTGTATACATAAATATAAATAATTATACTTATATACATAAAATCATATATATACATGTGTATATCTATGTATACACATGTATATATATACATACATATACATATATACACATATATCTCTATATATAGATATATCGCTAAGTATCTGTATATAAAGATATATCTCTGTGGATATATATGGATATATAGAGATATATCTATATGACCTCCAAGATATATATATGTATATATAGATATATCTCACTATATATAGACACTATTTTAAAGCAGTATAAAGTCATCTATTTAATTTTTCTAAAGAAGGGAAGTCTATGACCAGATTATCTTCTAAGAGAGCAAATTATCTAAAAATTAATTAAGTCCTCAATTTGGAATATATTCCACACTTTTTTGGTAGCATATGTGTCTCCCCAATTGTGATTTAATTGATTAATAACATTATGAGTTTGATCCTCTCAGGAGGTGGTGGTTGGGCATGGGGAATGTGTCTCAGAAATATATGAAGAGGCCAAAGGAGTCTAAGTAGTTTGTTGTTTCATGTGGGGTTTGGACAGTTGCAAAGACAGCATTTATAGTGGGAAAGAGAGAGTGAAGCATCCACCAAAAACCTGGACAGTTCTTGCTATGGTAAGTGGCATAGCTTATTCATCCAACTGTCAGGAGTGTAATGTGGTGATGATTCACAGATTTCCATTGACAAGGGAAGTTTCCTCAGTCCAAGCCTTGCACTGTCAAGGTGGGCAGACTAGGCAGCCCATTCACAATGATTGGTCTATTCAGGGTTACAAAAGCCCAAGTCCTGTTGCTCCAATTCAGAACAACTCTCAAGGGCCATCCCAGCTTTAGCGCCCCCTGTAGGATTGTATGAAGCCTGTTTATAACATTGTAGTTCAACTTCTGCCTTCATCTTCTCCTGTATCTTTCCCTCTCTTATAGGTGCTGATCTCATTCCCCAAGAAGCCACCTACCTAAAAATATTTGTATCCTGTAGAACTAAACTGAAATGACTATGTTAGCTGATAAAAATACAGAAAAAATAGAGTGGAGATTTTACAAAAATAATAGCTTATAGGGATATTACTAAAATCCAATTGATAAATTCTCATATTTACTCCTTTCTCTTAGAGCATTTGGACTGTATTTTTTATGTGTGTATCTTTCATTCACACTTGCATTCTTTCAGCAATATTTGTTCATTTTTTTTTGTTTCTAAGGGAAAATATTTGGCACTGGGAATACAAATATTGAATAACATATGAACTCCCATTAGAGATTGTGACTAATTTAGAAAGGCTAAAGATCAAGAAAATAAATGATGGTGAACTGTACATAGCCCATGAGAAATCTCCATGTAATTCAAAAAATTATGGAAGTCATTGAAGGATTTTAGGTACTCTCTGACATATTCATATTTGTACTGGTAAGAAAATCACTTTGGGAAAAGTATGTAGAATATACTGATAAAGAAGGAGACTGGAGATCGGGAGGCCAAGTAAAAGGCAATTTCAATATTCCAGGTGATCTGTGTAAGGCTGAAGCAAAATAATAAGTGCAGGGATGCAGATGAGAGGGTGCATTTAAATTATAATTAGAAGCAAACAACTTACAGAACTTTAGACAATGGGTGAAGGAAGTGATGAGTAGAACTGGATGGACTGCAACTCTCAGTATTCTGTTTTGGCCTTTTGGTTGTCCTTGTTGTCACCGAACAAAATAAAGATAAAAGTAGAACATACAGCTTGATGAAGGAGAAGAGAAGGCATTTGGTTCAAATTTAGACAATTGAAGACATTGCAGTGTACAAGATCTCCAAGGGGTAGAATACATAGTGAAAGAAAAAATGGCTGATGAGAGAGTAGGGCAGAGTAAAGCAACCAGAAAAGAATTGCAAATAAGATTGCAAAGGAGCTAGGGGGAGAATCAGATGAGGAAGAGAAGATGATACTATGGAATCCAAGGGATGAGATATTTAAGAAAGCATAGTAATCAGTACTGAAAGTGACAGTCAGATAAGAAGATACTAGAAAAATAACTTTTGCTTTAGCAATCAGCACATTATTGTAAGACTTAATTAGTGCAATTCTAGTGAAATGATGAGGTAATAGTAAGAATCCAAACATTGTGAACTGACAAATAAGAGAAAGTTATGTAAGAAAGATAATGAGTTTAAGTTATTCTTTGGTCATCCTAGAAGTGAAAGAAAGAAGAAATAATAGGTAGAGATAAATTCAAAGGCAGATGTTTTAAAAATTTATTTTTTATATTTTAATTTTTAAGATAGAAAACACTTGACATGTAAGCAGAAAGGAAGAACTAGCAGTGGAGAAAACATTGTCAACATAAAACAAAATATGTTAATGGCTGGAGAAAAGGTCAATAGAATGCTGGTGAACATAGTATCTACAGTAAGGGTAACGTACTTCATAAAGGAATAGATTTATTTCTTTAGAGATGAGAGGAAAATAATTATGGGTATACAAAAGTTTGCAGGTTGGATGAGGAAAGCAGCTGGTGGTAGACACTGTTTAGGATGATATCCATTTCTCATACATAATAGAAAAAAAATTATGCTAAAGGAGAAGAGGTTAGAAAGCTAGAGAAGAATGTGAAAGATTTTGAATACAGCTGAGTAATGTGAAGCTCCTCAATGTCTATAAATAGGTTAATTACTAAGAATTACTGAGAGTAGATGTGTTTATGAATCAAAATTTTGTAGGATTACCAATCCTCACAGTAAAATGATCTTGTCCAGTCATTTTGTTCAAAAAATAGGTGAAGTATTTAAACAATGAACAGGATTATTTGCACATCTGAAATAGAAACGTCTGCCTTCTTTTCACATGTGCTTTGACCATGACTTTGGACAACTTGGAGAAAAAGACAATATGGTGTGTGTGTGTGTGTGTGTGTGCGTAAAACATAAATTCCCAATGGTAAATAAAAGTCATGATCATGGGAGTAAAAAAAATCACTGAGAAGAAATCTTACAATTGGATTGTAACTAATAATTCTCAAGTATGACACAAAAACTTCTCAACATGAAGTGTTGTGAACGGAATCTGAGTTTAAGCTGTGTCTTTAAGATCTGATCAAGAACTGTTTTCCATTTGCTTGGTAGATTTTGGTTCATGTTATGATTTAATAAATTTGCAAAAGATTTTTTAAAAATCTGATCAGAAAAGATCAAAACAAGGTATCATTCTTTTAGAAGCAACCAATGTGATATTTTGGTAAATAACTAATGTTACTTTTCCTTAGTTTTATGAACAGTCTTCCCCTAAAATTTTTTGGGAATCACTTTCTTGACTGCTCCTGTGTGAATGTTTCCATGTGTATAATAAAGCGCTGTCAAGGGTTCACCTCAGTTGTTCCTGTTTCTTTAACAACGGGGAAGTGGGGATCACTTATAAATACAAAAATTGGGTATGTTTTTTCTCCAGAGTGTGAATGAAGTAGCCCTGTGTGATAGACTTAGGGTGACTTAATTTATAGGAAGCCAAGAGACTCAGTGACTTAGAAGAAGAGTGATTAAAAGGCTGTGATCCGCTGTGCACATGAACCATTTAGTTTAGTAGATTTGTAAGACAGCCATCATACAGTGATAACTAAGATTATTAATTGGAAAGAGAGCATTTGTGGCTCAGGGAAGAAACATAATTACTCCAGGGTGTATGTATGCACTTGTGTGTGAGTGAAGAAGAGGGCCCTCAAAAATTGGGTCAAACGTGTTGTTTTCATAGATGAATTATCAAGTATTTATTTTTTGAGTGAACTAGTCATCAGTTTTATAGGGAATGTATCTGAATACCCAGTTGCTCACAATTATGATTTTCCCCCAATTTATACTTCAACAGCTACTCCTATGCAAAATTGTCAGTAAGTTTTCAAATGCAGGAAAAAACCCACAGACATAGGCTTATATAACCAATAAAACACAAATAGTGCATCAAAGATCAGCAATCCTTACCGTGTACATGTAGGTTAAGACCACAAAAAAGGTCTAACTATGCTTGAGGAGCTAAACTATGGTTGCTGTGGAAACGGAACTTAACTTTAAGGCTTTGCACTGTGGTGCATAGAAAATTTCAAGCCGACTGTGCAGTAATGTCAGCTTTTTCAGTGAATATACAGCATCAGTTGCAGGAAACCGCATGAATGGAAGATAATGAGTTCCCAAGACTGACAACATTAAACACACAGAGACACAAACAGACAAACATACATCTAACTTTTTAGAAGCATAATTGCATATTATATATTTTTAAAAAATATTTCATTTTTCTACTGTTTTTTAAAATTATTTTCAATGGCAAATTTCTCACTATCCCTCAGCATTTATAAATGCAATTTGCAACATCAGTTTAAAGATCTCTCCTTTTTATCCTGATAATAGTGCTTATGAATGCTGTCTAACATCTCTCTCATCAATGTTTCCACTGATGTACTATAAATACACCAAGGAGGCCTTAGGCCATGATAATTTTTAAAATTATTTTGTTCCATGGACAATATTGAACAAGTATGAAATTGAATATATAGAGATATATAGACGTAAGTTTAGCTAACATGAAAGTGATATCTCTTATAAGTCGAATCCATAAACAAAGTACAGTTACATTTTTATGTCCCCAGATAGAAGACTGCTGATACACAGGCAGAATGCACTTTATACAAATTACTTGCCTACCGTGCCTCATATTTCTCTATAATAATTTTGTTATTCACATTTCCCAGTGTGACCCAACTAGAAAAAAAAAAAGAGCTAGGGCATATAGGTTATAATGAAAGTACTCTAAAGCAGCCTTTGTCTCAGAGGCTACTCTGACACTTCCTTATCGCTGTCACCGCACTAGCCTTGCTCCAGTTCACTCCTTTCTCTTGTTAGAGTCCTTGAGTTACTAAAACCTTCTCACCACAGCCAGTGACATTCACCTCTGATTCCACTGATGCTGGCCTTCCCTCCTCATTTCTCTGTGGCCTTGGTCCTGCCTTTTGCCATTTCTCCAGGTGATGCTGACTCACATTTATGCTAACTTTGAGAGTGGCTATTGCTTTCTGGTTAATTCTCAGGTTAACACAGGGCTGACCCAGTAAGTATTATGGAAGACTTTTTTAACCACAGCATTGAGGTTGGGGAAAGACTTTATCCATATAGTGAACAATTCTTTAATTAGATGCTCAAATAGAGATAAAGGTTTTTTTTTTTTCTCTGAGTCATCTACATTTTTTAGTGCTTTAGTGCTTTGATTTATTCTTTCAATTTCTTACTTAATCACCCTCACAATCCCCTTGCGAAACTTTTCATAAATCCAACCTGCATACAAACTAAAGAAATATAAAGAGTAATTCATAGAGAAGTATTCAAAATTATTCTGCCTCATCATGAACAATGGTTGTTTTTCCTCTGTGTATTAATTGTCTCAATTTTCTTTTGCTTAATTTTCTATATATTGTTTATTAATTTAGTCCCAAAGCTTTCTGACAATGTTTAAAATTCTTCTCAATTTCATTAAATACATTGTGTATTCTCTCAATTTGCTTCATAACCTCCTGTCTTTTTATCCAATCTTTCTAACACAATTGTATACAATTTACCAAGGGACCATCTTTTGCCAACATCTTGGGGATTCTCTTTACCTTTCTCTTGGAATCCCTGTTACTCCCACTTTCCTCATTCACATTGTTTTTATCTTGGTTTAATCCTTCTTCTGTCTAGAATACATCCACCATAGTTTCCTGAAAGACAGGACATAGGAAATAAATGTTAAGAGGCCTCTATGTGTGAAAATATCTATTTCCACTTTCATATTGGATTTCATATGGTTTTGTGTATAATTACAAATAATTCCCACTTGTAATTCTGAAAGTTCTGCTTTTTTTTTTTTTTTTTTTTTTTTTGAGATGGAGTCTCTCTGTGTCACCCAGGCTGGAATGCAGTGGCCTGATCTCGGCTCGTTGCAACCTCCACCTCCCGGGTTCAAGCAATTCCCCTGCCTCAGCCTCTGGAGTAGCTGGGATTACAGGTGCATGCCACCATGCCCAGCTAATTTTTTTTGTATTTTTAGTAGAGATGGAGTTTCACCATGTTGGTCACACCGTTCTTGAACTCCTGACCTCAGGCAATCCTCCCACCTTGGCCTCCCAAAGTGCTGGGATTACAAGTGTGAGCCACCGCGCCCGGCCAGTTCTGCCTATTCTTTCTTTCCTTTGGGAAACAACTTCACTTTTAGCCCACTGCCTCTTTGGAACTGAAATCATAGCATGCCTGTGTTCCAGCCATAGGGGTACTTGTAGGCCATGCAAACTTACAATTTAGAGTACTGTACGCTGTTGGCATGGAGAGCATTTCAGAAATGGCTCTGCGACTCCTACAGCTTAAGTGAGAACTTTACCAAGAATTTGACACATAGGTTCCAGGAGAGAGAAGATTTATCTTTCTCTAGAATCATGAACCATAGAGACCTTGTAAATCTAGAGATGCCTGCAAAACCTCCCCCTGGCCACATGAAGGCATATATTTACATAATGATGACAACACGAAGACACAGAGAAGCAAGTAAACTTGAAGTTTCTGCAGAAAGACACAGGACCTAAAGAGAAAGAGCCTTAAAAACAATGTTTTCACCTCTAGAACCAATCATACCGAAGCTAATAATTATCCATTTTATAAGGTTATTCTGAATTTCAATTCTGTTACTTACAAATGAAAGGATATTTAATAAAAATACATGTTAAAATTTGATGAAACTGAAACTAAATGAACCAATTGCTCTTCTCTGATCACACCCATTGAATGTCAGAGGCAGGTTTTCAGCCCATGTCTCTTCTGATGCACTACAATTTCTTGTTTCAACATGCCAAAACACAAGTCCTGAATTGTGGTATGGTTATGTGCTGCAAAGCTTCTGGCTTTTATTATTTATGATGTCACTAAACAAACAAACAAAAATGAAAACAAGTCATAAGCCAGGCAGTGGTTCACACCTGCACTCTAAGAGGCTGAGGCAGGTGGATTACTTGAGCCTAGGAATTCGAGACCAGCTTGGTCAACATGGTAAAACCCCATCTCTACCAAAAATACAAAAATTAGCCAGTCTCGTAACCTGATCTCTAAATAAATAAATAAATAGATAAAAATTAAAATAATAAAAAAGCATAGTCAGTATCTATTATATATCTGTTTCTGTGTCTAGCACTTTTTTTCCTCTGGTTAGTTGCTAAGTTCAAACATAAAATAATGTATTTATACATAAATATATTTGTGTGTGTGTTGTGTGTGTATAGACATGCCCTGAAAAATGACATTTCAGTATTGATGAACTGCATGTACAGAGTTGGTCCCATAAGATTATAATGGACCTGAAGAATTTCTGTCGCCTAATCAAGCACAATGCATTACTCAGGTGTTTGCGCTAAATGCTGGTGTAAACAAAGCTACTGCACTGCTAGTCACATGAAAGTATAGCATATAAAATTATATGTACAGTACCCCATTTTTGACAATAATAATCAGTGATTATGCTACTGGTTTACATATTTACTACACTATACTTTTCATCATTATCTTAGAGTGTACTGCCTCTACTCATAAAACAAAAAGAGTTAACTGTAAAACAGCCTCATGCAGGTCCTTCAGGAGATATTTCAGAAGGAGGCATTGTTATCACAGGAGATTTAGCTCTGAGCATGTTATTGCCCCTGAACACCTTCCAGTCAGACAAGAAATGGAGGTGAAAGACAATGATATGGATGATTCTGACCCTGTGTGTGTCTAAGCTAATATGTGTGTTTGTGTCTTTGTTTTCCATAAAACAGCTTAAAAGCTTAAAAAGAATAGAAAAAACTTTATAGAATTTATTGTATATATACATATATTCTATAAGTATATACAAATATACTTTTGTATAGCTGTACAATGTGTTTGTGTTTTAAGCTGTTGAGTCCAAAAATTAAAAAAAAAATAAGTTTATAAAGTAAAAAGGTATAGTGGGCTAAGCTTAAGCTATTATTGAAGAGAGTATTGTTTAAATAACTTCAGTGTAGCTTAAGTGTAGAGTGCGTATAAAGTCTACAATAGTGTTCAGGAATTTCCCAGTCCTTCACATTCACTCACCACTGCTCACTGACTCACCCACAGCAGCCTCCAGTCCTGTAAGCTCCATTCATGGTCAGTGCTCTAAAAAGGTGTTCCATTTATAAAAATCTTTTATATTGTATTTTATTGCATCTTTTCTATGTTTAGATATGTTTACATATACAATTCCCATTGTGTTACCATTGCTTATAGTTCAGTACAGTAACCTGCAGTACAGGTTTGTAACCTAGGATCAATAGGCTATAAACCCATATAGCCTAGATGTGCAGTAGGCTATATTTCTAGGTGTGTGTAAATATACCCTATCATGTTCACACAAGGAAGAAATGGCCTAATGACTTCTCAGAATGCATCCCCATCATCAAGCAACATATATGATGTGTGTGTATTTGTGTGTATGTGTACAAAGACCTCAAAACTTGTGCTAATATACATTCGTTTCATTAGTCCTGATGACAGTACTGTCCAAGGGAGTACATCGCAAAAACCTGAGTCTCCTGGATTCTCGCATATTTTCACTTCACCATCACTGTTCAGGTCATCCTGCAAAGCTCTCATGTGCTTTTAGCTTTTCCCTGGCACTTTTCTTTAGTTCAGTTTGAGAAAAATCATTCAAATATTCAACATATTTTTATAAATGTATCATAAATATAAAAATAAATATTTTTCCAGTTAAACTAGACATATTTTCCTAAACTGAAATTCCAATAGTTGTTTTTATGAGGTTGTGTTGATTTTTGTTAAGTGTTTATTTTGTAAGATAAATAAATATTGATAGATTTTCTTTAATAAAAATGACAAGGAAAAAGTTAAAATACTAAACAACCATATCTACTTGCTTGCCTATTTCCTATTTTTATGGTTCCTTTAAGACACTTTCTACTTTATGATCTTGTCAAAAGAGATAAAACTAAAAGGAATAGAGAGAGAAATCTAAAACTTAGCAAAGAGAGGACAACTTGGTGTCAATGATGTCACAAAGTGTGTATTCTTATTTTTTTTGATTGATGTTTCTTCATCATTATCATGATCTCAACCCAAAGTTACATCAAGTCTACAGGACAATACCTTCCTTTGAATAATCTAACACATAACCATAGTTTTTTTTTTTTTCTTTTTTTTTTCTTGAGACAGTATCTCACTGTGTCGCCCAGGCTGGAGTGCAGTGGCACTATCATGCTCACTTCCATCCTTGACTTCCCCAGGCTCAAGTGATCCTCCCACCTCAACCTGCCAAGTAGCTTGGACTACAGGAGCATGCTACCAAGCTTGGCTAATTTTTGTATTTTTTTTGTAGAGACAGGCTTTCACCGTGTTGTCCATGTTGGTCTTGAACTCCTGGGCTCAAGCTACACACCTACCTCAGCCTCCCAAAGTGATGGAATTACAGGCATGAGCCACTGTGCCCGGCCATTTTCCATTTTCGAATTGGATATATTCTCATTAAATATATACGTTTTTCTTATGAAATATCTTTTAAGTTCTGGACTGGCAAATTCTTTAAGTATCTCTTGTTTTATGGAATAATACAGTGAATACTTACAGTGTTTGCAAGAACTGGCCTAAACTTTAGGCAGTGATAAATGATCCATTTGAGATAAATGTTTATTTTCAAATGGGACAATTTCTACATTTGCATTATAATGGTTGTATTTATTATTAGGCTCCGAATTTGAATAAGCTCTCTCTGCAATCCACTTCTCAATTTCTAAAATAATTATCTTTATAATACTGTGAAGACAGAGAGATGGTTAGGATTCCATCTTTTTCTCTCCATGTCCCTGTGTTATTTGTAGTGTAGTGGAGTTACATTTCTACCATCAATGTGCTCAAATGATGGAGAATTAATATTATATGCAACCCAGGTAATGAATTATCAGTGGTGAAAACTCATACTTGTGCATCTGCACTCCCCTGGTCTGGGTTACCCTAGAGGATTAGAACTGATGCTTTTAAGTGATCAGTTGTCACAGAACAATAGATCCTGAAGAACCTGATGATCAATAGCAGTTGTGCTGCCCACACCACAATTTTCTGGACCAGGAGACCATTCTACACTGACATGGCTGAGATAGCCTGGATTCCACTAGTAGTAATTTTCTTTTAAATTTGGTTAAATGCTTTGCTACAAGCACCGTCACCAAAAATATACCTTATTTGATGTCTTTTAGCAGTGCCTCCAGGTGCTGTAAACTATGCCATCATTCAACTTTACTAAAAACTTTAACTCCTCATCACAAAATTTTGAGGGCCTCTTGGATGGAGAAACTTAACTTTTGAAATAAAAATTTTAGACTTTCTTTCTTTTTTATTATTATTATACTTTAAGTTCTGGGATACATGTGCAGAACGTCTAGGTTTGTTACATAGGCATACACATGCCATGGTGGTTTGCTGCTCCCATCAACCCATCATCTCCATTAGATATTTCTCCTAATGCTATCCCTCCCCTAGCCCCCTACCCCCTGACAGGCCCCGGTGTGTGATGTTCCCCTCCCTGTGTCCATGTGTTCTCATTGTTCAACTCCCACTTATGAGTCAGAACACGTTTTCTGTTCCTGTGTTAGTTTGCTGAGAATGATGGTTTCCAGCGTCATCCACTTCCCTGCAAAGGACATGAATTCATCCTTTTTTTGGCTGCATAGTATTCCATGGTGTATATGTGCCATATTTTCTTTATCCAGAAGTTTATGTTTCTCCTTGCTCAAAGTAGTTTGTAGAGAGAGTAATTGCCACTGTGGTCTGTTCTATTTCTTTCACTCTTCAACCTTTTTGTGTGCAATTTACGTAATGGTGAACAGGGGTATTCTGGGACCTGACTGCCCAAATTCTTTTCCCAGCTCTGCTATGTATTATTTGTGTGACTTTAGGAAAATTATTTAACCTGTGACTCCTTTGTCAGAGGTTAAATTTAAGATTGTGCTAGCATTAAATGACTTGATATCTATAAAGTGCTTTCTCTAAACAGTGCTTGGCACATAGTGTCAGCTATTGTTACAGGTGTAGAAACAGTCCTCATTTAAAACACTGAGCCCCATCACCCCCTTTAAGCAACACTTCTGTTTTAAAAATGCAAATCCCAGTTTTAAGCTCAGCATAGAATAAGAGTATATTGTTTAAAAAAAGGGAGGGGGTTTCAAGAGACATGAAAATTTACAGATGTATGCCATAGCCACTGTATTATCGCATGCCTTCTCTTTGCTTTCTATCTCTTCTCCAGCGCACCTTGGCAGCCACTCAAAAGCCTGGAGAAAGTGTCAAAGCCTATTCAGTTTTTCAGTTTAGTTGACCTTGTGACCAGGGGTGCTGCCCCTGCTTCACCTGGTGAAATAATCAGAATCCTGCTGGTGCTTCCTCAGGAGACAGTGAGGCTCACCACTTGCAGCAGGGCTCTGGATTCCAATGTCCAAATTCTTGCTGTAGCAATTACTATGTTCCTTGGTCACATGGATTAACTACCATTGCCTCATCTGGAAAATATGGGTACTAATGTGGCTCTCTTAAATATTTGTGAGGCTTACATAAGATAATCTAAGTAAAATACCATTAATGGCTAATTTCAATAAATTTATCACAGTATCCTAGAGCCCAAGCTAGAAAATTACAGTACATGAGATTCTTTATAACAAAGTCAATGTTGAGAAGGAGTAAAATTTGAAAGGTGGTAGTGAGAGCACTTAATTGTGACCATGAGAGCAAGAACAGCTACCCTCCCGCAGCTTCATCTTAGGATATAATGTGATCCTTGCCGCTGCTTTCCTTCTTTTTATTTTTTTGTGATCCCTGGAAAATTCTAATATTTGATGTATTCAAAACATGTAATTCTTGTTTGATTCCAAAGACTGTCAAATGAATAAATAATATGTTCGTACTTCAAGCTTCATCTGGTTTTATTCAGCGTTGCTATTTTTGCTCACTCGCTGTACTTTTGTGTGTCCTACTTCCTCTTCTACCTTCTTACAGATAAAATCTTAGATGATTTCCTTTAATCTTAAAAAGCTTTTCATAATGATAAAAAAATAACTCTGCAGTTCAGAAGCCAGGTGCACTTTTTAGTTATCAACAGTGATAAAAATGCTCTCCCCAAATGCTTTCATTGTATTGAGATTCCTTCAGCAGCCATAGTCTTGCTTTTGCAAAGCTGTGGAGAGGTCATTCACTTCATTCAAATTCTGTGGCTCTGTGAATTTTCAATGTATGTCTAAAAAGCCTATGAAGCCAATAGCTCTTCACTCCCCCCAGCTTCACTGTGTCGTGATAAAGGTCTTTTATCAAAACTCTTCACAGGTTTTTAAAATTATTCATCTCCTATCTTTACCAATCTCTTCCTTAATTTTTTATCCTAATGTAGAAAAGATTTAACATAGCCATTTAAGTAACCCACAACCAAATATTGTAAACCTATTTGAAAGTGCCTTCTTCTTTATTTTTATTCATTTTTTCTTTGAAATTGTGTATTTAAAATAGGAGGGAGGGGCATCCACAACAGCTGGTTGTATATTATCTGTCTTTGTAACAGCTGAGAGAAAAGATCAGTTAATTCTCCTTGAGAAGCAACTGCAGATGAAATTATCAGGCCAATTTGTCTATTTTAGATGGCTATTTTAAATAGCCCTTTACATCACATGACATTGAGGATCACCTTAAAAGCAGATGATAGTTAACTAAGGAAATATGCCCACCACACATATAAATTATGGGTTTTTCAAATTGGAAACACTGGCCTTGAAAAGGAAAGATGGATTCTTTGAGACCCTATAAAATTTTCTGTTTTCCACATTTTGCAAGATGAAGAAAACTAAGGGAGCTCAATTCTGAGATGCAAAAAACCTGGACCCCAATCCCAAAATGGCTTACATAATAATTCTCTAACTCAAGGATGAGATTTTTTTTAAGAGTGACTCATTCCCCTGTTATTTAAGATAAGTTTATTAGTATTAGATCCCTATCTGTAGTGTCGTGAAGATGAAACATGAATTGGCATTTTGATGAGATTGAGTAAATAATACTACTTACCTATGCATTTTTATTTTCCATGTTATCTCAATATTTTTAAATTTAATATATGCCAGCTTTATGTCAGGCCAGATGCTTCACATTCCTTATCTTTAACCACTATAAAAATCTTACAAGGTATCTAGTTTATAATCTCAAAGCTGAAAGGTTCCAGACAACTTTCTAATATATTTTTGTGCAAATGATGATGATCCCACTAACTTTAGGGAAGATAAGTGGAGAGTTAGAAAAATGAAGCTTCTAGCAACACTCAAAATATAATTCTGATTCTAGCTATATGGTATGGGTCCCATATAACTGCGTGAGAAAAAGGAACCCAGTGATCCTGACGTAGTTGGTTCTTGTATCTTGTTGTTACCTGGGTTAGACAAAATTGCTTGCAGTTAAAGTTGTTCAGCCATCTCTCCATATATGCAAAATGAAAGAAAATTGTTTCTATTTTCTTAATATCTATATATATTGCACAAATTATATTTGTGCAAATCCATTTAGCCAGCCTCCAAAATTTCAAATGAAATTAGTTTCAAATAGTTTTCAAATTACCAAATGAAATTTTTTGCAGTGTAACTATATGGTACATACTGAAGACTCAATATTCTTTATGATGTTCCTGAATGCATCTGGGAGGTTTTTTTTTGCTGTATTTAATCAATTTCATGTTTGTAATGTATTACATTAACTCAGTCTAGTTTTCTTGTCTTTATTAAACAGCCTTCTTTTAATGTTTGAAATCACATTTATAGCCAAAGACAAAAATCTTTGATAATTCTGCTTTAAGTAGCTTCCAAAATTAGAGGCTAGTTTATGTAACTATGTTAATATTCTCATTCCATAGATGGATACTAAAAGAATATGAAGGGTTTGTTGGTTTATTACACAGGGACACTGCATTGACGGTATCACATGTGTTTCTTTAGTATGGTAGCTGCCAGCAGAAACTCCGGTTTTAGTGAAGCTTTGCACAGGCTCTTACCTCTTGCCGGGACTGACTCTGTTATAAATAGCTTGGCCATGACTCATCATTAGACTCATATCAGGAATCAGCCTGAGCTCCTCTGGCTTACTCAGAGATTTGCCCTGCGTTATGGCTCATATTTTTATATTCATATAGAGTGGATAAAATTCATTTAATGGACTTTTCTCTGCTATTCTATATTACCAAATGGGGTGCAATCATTTTGTGATTTCTGGGTGGCTGAATTTTTGAGATATACTCTTGCTGTGTGAGCAAGTCATCAACCGTAAACAGTGTTATCCTACATCCTTACCACCAGATGAGAATACCTCAGAGGTTGAACAGCACACACTCTCTCTCCTCTATTACACACACACTCTCCTCTCTCTCTTTCCTCTGTGTGTGTGTGCACACACACATGTTTAGGACAGGAAAGAGACGGGGAGGATAACTTGAATTCATCAGAATTTTCCAGTGGGGAAAAGAAAATTCCAATATCCTATCACTGCAGATGCTAGAAGAAGGTGACTCTATCTCACCTGCCACATGTTTTGTATCGATCTGACACCCTTTCCCTACATAATATTAAGGGGTTGGCATTGCTAAAAACCATGAGCAAATAAGTGAGATTTGAGTAAGATATACAAGGATGTATGAGTCACATATTAGACAGGGGAATGCTGTTAGCTGCCATAACAAACCTCCCCCAAATCAAAGGGCTTTATGTGTGTTCATAAATCTTGTTCCTCATGTCATAATCTACTGTTAGTAGTGTGGATCACCTGAAAATCTCTTTTTGAAAGGGTGACTTGATTATCTGGGCTCCTTTTATTGTGTGGCTTCTCTATCTTGAAGTCATTTTCTTATGGCTACAGAAACAAAGAGAGACAGAGAGAGAGAGGGAGGAAAATTTGGCATTTGAGAGTTTACTTTTGGAAGTGGAATCACATCACTTTGCCCTGCTTTTTATTGTCCAAATCTAATTACAAAGTCACAACCTTACTGCCAGGAAAGCTGGCATATGTCTTAATGTTCTCCAAAACAGGCAAGAGAGTTTCTGAGTAGCTAGCTAGTTCCTTCTTGTTACCCATATCTTTTTCACTATTCCTCACATATAGAAAACGTTCAGCCTACCTCAAAGCTGTCAACCACAAAAGTATGTCAATCATGACATACAGCTCAAATTTTAGGATCTTTAGGTTATGTTAATTCTTTTCAATTGGGTCTAGCTATGACTCCTTTTGGTCTAAGGTTTACTGTCAAAAAAGGTATATTATTTGCACATCCTGCTCCCATCACTACTTAATTATTTAAGGGTGAAACAAGGCGATATGGTTTGGCTCTGTGTCCCCATCCAAATTTCATCTTCAATTGTACTTCCATAAATCCCATGTGTTATGGGAAGGAGCCGGTGAGACATAATTGAATCATGGAGGCAGTTTCCCCCATACTGCTCTCACGGTAGTGAATAAGTCTCACAAGATCTGATAGTTTTATAAGGGATTTCTACTTGGGTGTCTCTCTCGTTCTCTCTTGTACCACCATGTAAGAAGTGCCTTGTGCCTTCTGCCATGATTGTGAGGCCTCTTCAGCCACGTGAAACTGTGAGTCCATTAAACCTATCTTTTCTTCCCAGTCTCTGGTATGTCTTTATTAGCAGCATAAAAACAGACTAATACAGTAAATTGGTACCAGTAGAGTGGGGTGCTGCTGAAAAGATACCCAAAAGTGTGGAAGCAACTTTGGAACTGGGTAACAGGCACAGGTTGGAACAGTTTGGAGGGTTCAGAAGATGGGAAAATGTGGGAAAGTTTGGAACTTCCTAGAGACTTGTTGAATGGCTTGGGCCAAAAGCCTGATAGTGATATGGACAATAAGGTCCAGGCTGAGGTCATCTCAGATGGAGATGAGGAACTTGTTGGGAACTAGAGCAAAGGTGACTCTTGATATGTTTTAGCAAAGAGACTGGTGGCATTTTGCCTCTGTCTTAGAGATTTGTAATACTTTGAACTTTAGAGAGGTGATTTAGGGTATCTGGCAGAAGAAATTTCTAAGCAGTAAAGCATTCAGGAGATACCTTGGGTGCTGTTAAAGGCATTCAGTTTTATAAGGAAAGCAGAGAATAAAAGTCTGGAAAATTTGCAGCCTGACAATGTGAAAGGAAAGAAAAACCCATTTTCTGAGGCAAAATGGCAGCAGAAATTTGCATAAGTAATGAGGAGCCAAATGTTAATCCCTAAGACAATGGGGAAAATATCCCCAGGGTATGTCAGAGGTCTTCAAGGCAGCCCCTCCCATCACAGGCCCAGGTACCTAGGAGGAAAAAGTGGTTTCATAGGCCAGACCCAGTGTCCCCATGCTGTGTGCAGCCTAGGGACTTGGTGCCCTGCCTCCCACCACTCTAGCCATGGCTGAAAGGGGCAAACATATAGCTCAGGCCGTGGCTTCAGAGGGTGCAAGTGTCAAGCCTAAACCTTGACAGATTCCACGTGGTATTGAGCCTGCCAGGGCACAGAAGTAAAGAATTGGGGTTTGGGAACCTCTGCCTAGATTTCAGAGGATATATGGAAACACCAGGATGTCCAGGCAGAAGTTTGCTGCAGGGGCAGGGCTCTCATGGAGAACCTTTGCTAGGGCAATAGGAAAGAAAATGTGGAATCAGAGGCCCCACACAGATTACCTACTGGGACACCCCCTAGTGGAGCTGTGAGAAGAGGGCCCCCATCCTTCAGACTCCAGAATGGTAGGTCCACTGACAGCTTGCGGTGTGTGCCTGGAAAAGCTAGATACTCAATGCCAGTGCATGAAAGCAGCTGGGAGGAGGCAGTACACTGTAAAGCCATGGGCAGAGCTGCCGAAGGCCATAGGAACCCACCTCTTGCAACACCATGACCTGGATAAGAGACATGGAGTCAAAGGAGATAATTTTGGAACTTTAATATTTGACTGCCATGCTGGATTTCTGACTCACATGGGTCCTGAAGCCCTTTTGTTTTGGCCAATTTCTCCCATTTGGAACTGCTGTATTTACCCAATGCCTGAACCCCCGTTGTATCTAGAAAGTAACTAACTTGCTCTTGATTTTGTAGGCTCATAGGCAGAAGGAGCTTGCCTTGTCTCAGATAATACTTTATTTAGACTGTGGACTTTTGAGCTAATTCTGAAATGAGTCAAGGCTTTGAGGGACTGTTGGGAAGGCATGCTTGGTTTTAAAATGTGAGGACATGAGATTTGGCAGGGTCTGGGGGAGGAATGATATGGTTTGGCTCCGTGTCCCCATCCAAATCTCAGCTTGAATTCTACTCTCATAATTCCCATGTGTTGTGGGAGGGACCCAGTGGGAGATAATAGAATCACGGGGGGCAGTTTCCCCCATACTGTTATCGTGGTAGTGAATAAGTCTCATGAGATTTGATAGTTTTAGAAGGGGTTTCCGCTTTCTCTTCTCTCTCATTATCTCTTGCTGCCACTGTGTAAGAAGTGCCTTTTGCCTTCCACCATAAAGGTGAGGCCTTCCAGGCTACGTGGAAGTGTGAGTCTATTACACCTACTTTTTCTTCTCAGTCTTGGGTATGTCTTTATAAGCAGTGTGAAAATGGAGTAATACACACAAGGAGAGCATAATCACAAAATAGCCATATTCTGAAAATGAAAGAAAAGGTATTGGTTTGTTTGTAGTAAACATAAAGTCCTGCCAGTCAGGCTATGCAAAAGACCCTTTCCTGGATAGGGAAGATCCCTTGTTTGGGGAGCTTCCTTGACTAGACTTTGAGTCAGCTGTCTGGGAGGACTTTCCTTGTTGTTATTTCTCCGTATTCTCCTTGATCAGACCTCTAGGATGCTCCTCCTAGAATATTGTTTTCCTTAGCCACATCTGAGGTATGTTTTAAAACTTTATTTCTACTCGTAGAAGATTATGGGCCCAAGATTTGCTTTAAATAGTTATCAAAGCTGCCTCACATCTTTTTAAAGCCAGTTTCTCGGATGCTACATTTTCTTCAAAAAATTAGTATTCTGATTTATTTGCTTTGAGTGAGTTTCATGTGTCAGAAATCATGCCCAACATTTTCTAGTAGACATGATTCTTCTGTCTGTTCCATATATTTTCTTTGTGGCCTCCATAGGGTAATCTCTTTCTGGACGTATTTGTGGTCAAGCTCTGACACTAGAAATTATAAAAATAATTCCAGAATATATAGACGATATCATTAACAAACAGAATATTTTTTCAGCTATAAATATTGACAAGAGCATCTGCTTTTACTTGCTTACTCTTCTCATTAAGACAAAGAAAAAAAACAACAATAAAGTCTCCTTAATTTTAAGTCAATATTTTATCCAAGAATTCTAGATGAGAACTTAAGCATAATTTTTAGGACTGGTGATACTTTAGCCACCACTCTTTCCTATAGTCACCTCCTTTTACTGTCTCTTGCGCATATTACGCAATCCCTCTTGATGTCACCTCTAAAATAAGAATAATGATGTCCTCTTCTTAATGTAACTTTGAAGATTACATAAAACAACATATAAATTTCTTATTACAACATCTAAGTCCTCAGCATATGTTAATTATTATTTTTTCTATTATGACTGTCATCCATACTCAGAGCATTACATGAACAGGGTATCTGTTTAATATACAACATGTAATCAATGTTTATTGACCTGGATATAAACTAATGATTAAGACATGACCTTAAAGAGCTCTGAGTTTAGTGATCTCTTTATGAACAATCCATAGCAATTTGAGAAAATCCAGTTTTTATGTTCAGCATTGCTTTCTTTCACATGAATCAGTTTATAAATGTCCACAGATTAAATCAATCCTTGTTTACTCCATAAATGGCATTTGGAATAGCAGATGGCTTTGAGTTGTATGCATATTCTTTCTTTGGGCCTTGGTGATATATTGAGCAATCATTTGCTATATAATGGTTGCTTCAGGAAATAGAGCAACTTATTCCAAAAGTACAGGGCAGACACACGATACATGGGCACAATGGCATAAACAGACATATGCAGGTGGCAATGACATCTATACAACCAACATAAGTACTAGCAACAGATTTTAAGCACCAATTTGCCTTTGGGCTTCAACAAACTCTACCCATATTTCCATTCTTGATTTGTTTTAAAAAGACATTAACTTTTATTTTTAACTTCTTGTTTTAGATTTAGCATTCTCAATCAAGGTATGAATAATGCATTATGGTTAGCCTTCTCCTTCAAGTTGTATTCTATATGATTCCCAATTCATCAGACAATTTGAGTAAGAAAAACACCTTCTAATTTGTTTGTTGCTATGTAAACAAAACATATTTTTTCCTAGATAATACTTTGCAGATTGAATATGAATAACAAAAATCTATTTAAAGTATATTTTATAGAATGTATTTCTGGCCGACATATAAAAAGGTGATGCCCACCATTGCAGATTTGCTGAGAGATTTTTGTTTTGTTTGTTTCATTTTGTTTCGGTAGATGTCTTGGCATTGTCAAAATCTGACAGAGCCTACAACTGTGATGCAGTGGGAACTGTGTTAACCATCCCCCACTGAAGCCCTTTTCCAATAGTTTGCTGTTGTTTTCTAGGCTAAGCATGTTTCTTTCTGTGACTTTCAAGGGATCCAGGATTATACAGTTAAGTCACAAATGCTGACAAGATAAGAATCATGTCTTTTTTTTTCCCCTCAATTGCTACTTTTCTCTTTTTTGGTTTGTTTTATTTTAGTAGATTAAGGCACAATGTCCTTGTGCTATAGAAGAGAAACAAAAAGAATTCCAGCTTGAAAGGATATGTTGAATTATCTGTGGGACCTGAGTTGGAAATCACATTCTCACATTCATTTTTGTGCTGCTGTTATTATTTAATATTTAATCAGTGCAACTTTAGATACCCTAAAAAATTAAAGGAAACAAGTAATGTTTTCTTTTAAGTGCTCACAGGCTACTTTTTGGGGGGGGTTGTAAATTAAAGCTCTTCATCCAGAGACCAGTATGTGTTGAGGGAAAGGGGGAGGCTAAAAATTCCTGCAGAGTTAAGACATATT